>NC_000023.11:91553451-91856481 GCF_000001405.40 Homo sapiens
AGGAGAAAAACAGTTTTTTAGTGACCACTAAATGTTTACAGTTTCTTAGCATAGTTAGGAACAAACAGGGAAAGGACGTGGTGGTGCTATATGCATCAGAAGGGCCAATGAACAAAGTAAATTAACGGTGAACCTATACTTCAAGTTTCTGTTCTGACATGAAATGACCTTGTAAGCCATCACTCCTTATATCAAGAAAGTGCTGGACAAACAGAAAATTAACAACCTTTTAAATAATATGTAATTATTATAATATAATTTTAATATTAAATATTAATAATATTTTAAAACTTTTCCAACAACAGGAAGCAAATTTCTCCTCACTATACCAGTATAAACTTCCCAAACTGAGATGCAAAGAGAAAAAAAAGAATAATAAAAAAAACAGAACAGAACTTCTAAAAACTGTGGGACAGTATCCAAAGGGTTTAGTAATATATACCAGTAGAAAAAAGAAAGGAAGAACTGGGTAAAAAAAAAAAAAAAAAAAAAAATTGAAGTCAAAGATCTAACCACCTTTGCAAAATCCTAGCCATTTCATTGATGGATTCATTTATTTCTTTATCAGTTCATTTTTTTTAAAAAAAAGATTTGTGTGGTACTACTGTGTAGACACTAATGGTACAAGACTGAGACATTGCTTTGAAGAACAATGTTAAAACAAAACAATACAAGAAGTGAATAAAGTAACTGCAGAGTATAAATTATGTGCCGTGAAGGAAATAAGCAGGACACTAAAATACAGTAGTCCTATCTTTTCTGCAATTTTGTTTTCTGAGGTTTCAGTGGTGCAAAAATAGTCAATGGAAAATTGCAGAAATAAAAGGTTCCTAAGTTTTAAAATGCACACCGTTCTGAACAGCATGATGAAATCTTGCACCCTCCTGGGTCAGTACTGCCCAGGATGTGAATCTTCCCATTGTCTAGTGTATACATGTTGTAGACCCTGCGGCCCATTAGTCACTTAGTAGCCATTTCAGGTATCAGATAGAAAAATTATAGTGTTATAAGGTTCTGTACTATGTGCAGTTGCAGGCATCTGCTGGGAATCTTGAAGATTATCCATTTTGGATAAATGGGGACTACTGTAGAAGGCAAAGTTTTGGGTAAATATTTCATTTGGGGTGATCAGGAAAGGTCACTCTAAAGATATGACATTCAAACTGACACTTAAAGATGAGACAGAGCTAGCTGAATGGAGCATGGAAGAATAGAATGCGATCATTCCACGGGTTCATTAGTCTCAGTTATGCAAGTTGTTTCTTCACAGAGTATGAGCCAAATTCCTATATTACAGTGGTTTCTATACTTTTATGTCATTTGTCTTTTTGAGAAATGCCAACTCAGGTGTCAAATCTTCCCTGGATCTGCTCAGTCAGAATTCAGCTAACCCTTTGTTACGTTTCCAAAACATTTTGCCTGTGTTTCTGTTGTACTACCTACATTAGCCTTCAATTGATAGTCATTTGAGTTTCCTTCACTAGACTTTCAACATCTTGTCATCTTCCTTTTTTTCAATCCCCCATGGAAACAATAGTGCATTGTAATGGAGTAAGTGTTTGCCAAATGAATGTTCACATGTGCATGTGGACAAATGAAAAAATAAACTAGATATAAACTAATGAAAATAATAAATGCCTCTGTAAAAGCTTTGTTTCTCTATTTTTCGGTAATTCTTGTTGGAATTACCTAAGTCCTTAGGTTATTATGTTTCTAGTCAATGAGATGCTTCTTTTAATTAATTAGTAACTCAAAAGTATCTTACTTTTTATGTCTTTGGTATAGGTAAATATTTTAACAAGTCTCTTTCATATTTTTATTTTGGAAAAAAAGTAGGGAGGGTTGATTATTTTCAGGATCATGTTTTAAAATAATTACTCTAGCCTTGCTCCTGCTTAAAGGCATTTCTTCTGAAAAAGATTTCAATCAATTGTCTATGTACACTATCTTGTCTATAAATACTATAAATGGAACTAAAGTGGTCTATTTAAACTAATTATAACCTGTAAAGCAAGAATGAAAGGTTATTACTTTAAGTTAATTCAGAGACTGAAAATTTCACAATTAACAATTGACATTTTCTAATTGCTGAGTTTGATATGTGCGTTAAGTCACTATATTCCCTTTATAACAACCTTAATTCTATCTCAAGGAGACTATATGTAGAATGGGTTAAGTCTGTCTTATTTAGTCTGTTTTAACCTCCTACCTTGATCGTCAGTCAGTCAAGGGGGGGAGGGGCTTTATCAGGTAATTATGTGATGTAAATAAGGTTTTATTGGCCATTAAAATGAGACCACCAACTCCTTTTACTTAGTCTCTGAATAACAAACAGCATGTAATAATTTGCTAGGGATATGACGCTGGGCATCATTGAACACAAATATACTCAACAGATGATGTGCCATATGGTTTTGCCTTCTTCTACAATGAATAATTTACACATGACTCATCAAAAGTCATAGTAGAAGTTCATAATCACCCAATACTCACTAAGTAAGTAATATGCAACGTTATTAGGTTGCTTTTCAGCAGCCATCTTCAAAAACAATAGGAAGACACATGCTCATTATTTTTCATGTGTTATATTAGCTATATCATGTTCAGGCCACATAACTGTGTTTTTTTTAAAGAATATGTCCACTTCTAATAAATTATGTGTAAATGTTGGTTGTTACAGTTTAATTAGGCAGAGCTCTATTACTGCTCTGCCTAACAAAGTCTTAAGTACCATTTACAAATATTCATTAAAAGTTGAAATAAAATCTCCTTTTGAATGAACGGCCATTGAAAGGGCTGGAGCAGTAATGGAAATAAAGCAAAAACACCACTTGGCATTCTGCATTAATTGAAAATCAAGTGATAAAAGCAATCATATATCTATTAGAGTGCACTTAAAAATTGTTTCAAAATGAAAGCATGAATGTGGTGGCATGGGCCTGTAGTCCCAGTTATGTTGGAGGCTGAGGCAAAGGGATTGCTTGAGCCCAGAAGTTCAAGAGTGCAGTGAGCTGTGATCGCACTACTGCACTCTAGCCTGGGTGACAGAGAGAGACCCTGTCTCCAAATATATATATACACACATATAATTGACTTGATATAATTTCTAAAACTCATGAGAAAAACAATAGCCCATTTATGTACACATATTTATAATCTTTCAGTTGTTCTTCTTCCTTCCTGATGCTCCAAGGTTATTTCTTTTATCTCTTTAATTGTTTGACAAACTTCCTTTAGCCTTTAAGAGTAGGTATGCTAGAGACAAATTCTTTCAGTTTCCTTTAATCTGATAAAGTTTCTAATTTCCCCTTCATTTCTGAAGAATAGTTTTGCTAGATATAGAATCTGATGTTAACAATTTCTTTCTTTGATCACTTCCAAATTGTTGTGACACTATTTTTTCTCCTAGAAAATCTGTTTTATGCATCATTCTCTCCGTATATGTTTTAATAAGTGGTGATGCTCCCATTAACGGAATTCATTATTAACCTAATTTTCTAATGGAGGAAGAGGAAAAATAATTATTGCTTTCTGTGGAACAAATATTCCTCTATCAACTTATGACCAAATAATAGCAATATAAGAAATCCAGAAACAGTAAAGATTTGGGGTTTATATTTCATGGATGGTGATGCTGTTCCAACCTTGTAAAGTAAAACTGTCTGCTTTCCAAATTCCAAAAATTAAAATACTATCCTTCTCATCATACTAACCACTGTCTTTTGTTTTTTGTTTGTTAGAAAAAGGAATGATTAAAGAGTTATCAATTATGGATATACCATTTTGATTTTGGAGATTTTCACACACAGAAATTATATCAATTGGCCAGACACTTATTTTATAGAAGAGTTTAAATGCTACACATTAGCCAAATCAACTTATTCCACCCACCCTGTTGGAGTGGGTAAAACCCATACCCATAAAACAACTTCACTTCACAGAATGTGTCTATCAACGATAAGTAGCTTAAATAGCTCTCACCAATAAAGTGTCTGGTTTGGCTTTTAAAATGGGAAAGTCATACATTTGAAAAGTAACCTAATGAACCATGCAAGAAGCAAGAGCTATTAAACCAATATGCTTTGAATTGGTTCAAGTACTGATATTTCTGAGCATATTTAGTATATACACATGTATATATCTGGATATCATGACAAAAGAAAAAAAATTTTTCCACAAAAAGAAAAATATTAAACAAATCAAAGTTCAACATGTGCCAGTTGACCATGTGTGAAAATGCAAAGCAGGTATTAAAACTGATATGTTCAATATTTAAAACCAGTTTGTAATTGAGAGAACATTTAAATCCTTGATTAAAAAACACGAATGATAAACATTAGTGGCATTTCTATAGGCCAACAGTGAACAATCTGAAAAAGAAATAAAAAAGTAATCCCATTTACAAGTGCCATGAATACAAGTAAATACCTAGGAATTAACCAAAGAAGTAAAACCTCTCTACAATGAAAGCTATAAAACACTGATGAAAGAAATTGAAGAGGACACCAAAAGATGACAAGATATTTCATGTTCATGGATTGGAATAATCAATATTGTTAAAATGTCCATACTAACCAAACCAATCTACAGATTCAATGCAATCCCTATCAGAATACCAATGACATTCCTCAAAAAATAGAAACAAAATTCTAAAATTTATATGGCACCACAAAAGACTCAGAATAGCCAAAGCTTTCCTGAGCAAAAATAACAAAGCTTGAGGAATCACATCACCACACTTCAAAGTATGCTACAGAGCTATGTTTACAAAAACAGCATGGCACTGGCATAAAAACAGACATGTAGACCAAGGGAACAGAATAGAGAACCTAGAGACAAATCCACATACTACAGTGAACTCATTTTTCACAAAGGTGCCAAGAACATACACCTAGGAAAAGACAGTCTCTTCAATAAATGGTGCTGGTAAAACTGGATATCTATATGCAGAAGAATGAAACTAGACCCTTATCTCTTGACAAACAGAAAAAACACAGAAAAATGAATGAAAGATAAATCTATGACCTCAATCTATGAAACTACTACAAGAAAATGTTGGGGAAACTCTCCAGGACTTGATCTGGGCAAAGTTTCTTGAGTAATATCCCACAAACACAGGCAACCAAAGCACAAATGACAAATGGGATCACATCAAGTTAAAAAACTTCTACACAGAAACAAAAACGAAAACAACAACAAGAAAAAACCCACCAACAATGTGAAGAGACAACCCACAGAATGGGAGAAAATATTTGCAAACTACCCATCTAACAAGGGATTAATAACCAGAATATATAAGGAGCTTAAAAAACTCTATAGAAAAAGAGTCTAATAATTAAATTGAAAAATGGGCAAAAGATCTGAATAGAAATGTCTAAAAAGAAGACATACATATGGCAAAAGGTGCTCAACATCATTGATCTTCAGAGAAATGCAAATGAAAACTACAATGAGATATCACCTCACCCCAGTTAAAATGTCTTATATCCAAAAGACAGGCAATAAAAAATGCTGGTAGGATATGGAGAAAAGGAAACCCTTGTACACTCTTGCTGGAATGTGAATCAGTAAAACCACAGTGGAGAACAGTTTGGAGGTTACTCAAAAAACTAAATGTGGAGCTATCATATGATCCAGCAATCCCACTGCTGGGTATATACCCAAAAGAAAGTAAATCAGTATATCAAAGATATCTGCACTCCTATATTTGCTGCAACACTGTTTACAATAGCTAAGATTTGGAAGCAACATATGTGTCCATCAATTGATGAATGGATAAAGTAATAGTGGTACATATACACAATGGAGTACCATTCAGCCATAACAAAGAATGAGATCTTGTCATTTGCAACAACATCTATGGAACTGGAGATCATTATGTTAAGTGAAATAAGCCAGGCACAGAAAGACAAACATCACAAATTCTCATTTATTTGTGGGATATAAAAATCAAAACAATTGAAATCATGGAGACAGACAGTAAAAAGATGATTACCAGGGACTGGGAAGGGTAGTAGGGATTGGTGGTGGAGGGAAGTGGCGATGGTTAATGGGTACAAAAAATAGAAAGAATGAATAATGCCTAGTATTAGATAGAACAACAGAGTGTCCATAGTAAAAATAATCTAATTATACATTTTAAAAATAACTAAAAGAGTATAATTGGTTTGTTTGTAATACAAAGGATAAATGTTTGAGGTGACGGATATCCCATATACTTTGATGTGAATATTTCATGTTGCATGCCTGTATCAAAATATCTCATGTATCCCATAAATATGCACACCTACTATGTATCCACAAAAAATTTAAAATAAAAAAAATAAATGAAGTGAAAGCTTTAAACTAGTATACACATTTCACACCTATATTTCAAGCTTGGAAATGCAAATTTGCAAGCAGCAATACAAAAGTATTCATGAAGAATGCATAATTCCTGATATTTATAAAAACATAGCTACCAATACATTTTTAAATACAAAACTGACTACCATATTTGTTAATTTTATGTAGTGAGAGAAGTTCTTTTTTTTTTTTTTGAAACGGAGTCTCGCTCTGTCGCCCAGGCTGGAGCGTAGTGGCGCTATCTTGGCTCACTGCAACAGCCGCCTTCAGAGTTCACGCCATTCTCCTGCCTCAGCCTGCCGAGTAGCTGGGACTACAGGCGCCCGCCACCACGCCCGGCTAATTTTTTGTATTTTTAGTACAGACGGGATTTCACCGTGTTAACCAAGATGGCCTCAATCTCCTAACCTCGTGATCCGCCCGCCTTGGTCTCCCAAAGTGCCGGGATCACAGGCATGAGCCACCGCGCTGCCGAGAAGTTCATTATTAAAACAGATACAATTCAGTCTTTAAGTGTGAATTGTGTGAATGACAGCCTGTTTAAAACATGATTTCTTCATTGTTTCGAATCCTTAAGCATGCAAAGGCATTGAACAGGAAATTCCACAAAGGAACCATGGTTGTTCTATTGCATTCAGTTAAGCCAGAGCTGGAAATGCCTCTGGGTCATCCATATCAGGAACAGAAGCACCTGACTTGTCAGTCGTGCTGCTGAGGTTCTGAGGTCCACCACATATTCACCTTGTCTTCCCCTCCCACCAAGTCCTCGAGGGCCAGGGTCTCCAAAATTGATCTCCCGCTGAGACATTATATCATTTGCTGGCTTTCAAAAATGATGGTCCTTAATGACAAGTTCAGCATGAGTCTCTTCACTCTTTGATTTATGAAGCGCACATCTCTTCTTCCAGTGCCCATCAATCAGTACCTTTGTTTTGTTTTTGGATATTAAATTCTACTTTTGGCCAGTCCTTACTTTGAATAGCATTCCACTTATCCAAAGTCATCTCTTTTGGACCCTCTTTTTTACCTCTTAAACTTCCTTCTCCTTATTTTCAGTGTCTGCCACTGGAAGTTCTTCACCTTCAGGTGTTTCCTAGGTCATATTTGATGAATCCAAGTCAGTTAACTTATCATTTACAGTTCCCCAGTTGTAAAATCCACTACCTCCATGTTTGTCCTTGTGCTTCAGGCTAGATATATGCCTTCCAGCATGCCTACCAGCATGCCTATCAAATTCACATTTACCATAAAAATCAAATCCATACCCTTGGCCCATTTCACTTTGACAGCCCTCTCTACTTCTTCCAAGGCCACCACAGCCTCGAATGGGTTGGTAAATGATAGGTCTATCAAATAAAATTTTCCTCTTTCACCCTTTTCAAGTGGTTTTTCAAATCTTCCTTCATGAGGTGGTTGCCTTTCCCCGTCTTATCTCAATTATTTTCCCTTCACCTTGCAGTTGTTGATTGGGTCTTCTTCCAATTCACCTTATTCCTTCTTTCTTAACCTCCATGGGCACTATATGTCCTCTTGCCAACCATGCCAACTTTTGGGGCAAGTGGGTTCTTGCTGTCTTTCTGAGACTCTTTATACAACTGTTTGTCCGTGGCATTGGAGTTGGTCTGGGCCATGGCCTGAGATGAGCTTTTGGCCCCAGCACCCCCAGTGACACCCCCACTGGCTTATTTTCTCTAGTTCTCAGCTGCCTTCAGCACCTTGAATGGGTCCAATTCGTCTTCAAAGAACTGGTTAAATGGGTTGATGACCATGCAGATGAAGCATTCCTGTAAATGGCCAGGCACAATGGTGGGTCAGAGGCATGTTCCTCAATGGATTGTAGCTGGCTGTGCAGAAGCAAGATCACCTTCTTCAGTTCTTCCCACAAGATATTATGACACTTTAGATTTTGGCTTCATAATTTATGGTGAGAAATCCACTATCATTAGGATATTGGTATTCTCCTAACAGCAATGCATCATTTTTCTCTAGCTGCTTTCCGTATTTAATATTGTCTTTAGTTTTCAGAAATTTAATTATGATATGTGAATTTCTTTGAGTTTATCTAATTAAAGTACATTCATATTATTGAATCTCCGAATTACTGTTTTGCACCAAGTTTGGGATGTTTTAAACTATTATTTCCCTATATAGTCTTTCAACCCTTCTCTCTTGTTGGGCTACAAAGATGCAAATCATTATATATTTTGGCTCTCTAAAAAAAAAAAAATCTGTTTCCTCTCTTGTTCAGAATGGGTGAATGCTGTTGATCTATCCTAAAGTTCAGTGACTTCTTTCTCTTACAGTTCATTCAAGCTTTTTTTTCTGTTAATGTATTTTTCTAAAATTTCCATTTTTTATAACTTATTTCATTTCAAAATGTTCTATTTTCCATTTGTTTCAGGAGACTTTGTAATGCACTGCTGAAATATTTTTATGATGTGTGCTTTGAAATCCTTGTTAGATAATTCGACAATTAACGACATCTGATTTGTCTCAATGTTGGCATCAGTTGATTGTTTCCTCTCATTTAAGTTGTGATTTTCTTTATTCTTAGTGTGACCAGTGATTTTCAACTGTATCCTGAATATTTCTTCTATTATGCCAGCAGACTCTGGGTCTATTTATATCTTTAATTTCATCAGATCTTCATTCTGTTTATAGTCAGCATGCAGATTCTGGTCTACTTTTCTGGACTGTGGTTTCTATGACAGTATATTTTCAGAGGCTTTGTTGTGTTATTTTGTTTTTTTCAGTTTATGTGATACTTATCTCCTACTTGTCCATGACAGCAATGGCTATAGTTGCAGAAGGGATTTTCCTTGGCCAGTGTCTTTCCATGGGAAAAGGGAGTCCCAGGTCCCCTGAGATGAAGAGGTTTCCTTAACAATGTTACTGGTTCCTAAGAATTCCTACCAAGGCCTTCCAGTTGCCCCTGTGTCTCTGGGTGGAAGAGGGTATTTTCAGGCCCATTGAGAAAAAGAGACTTTCTGAGAATGACCGTCCACTGTGGCTGGGCTCTTCCTGCCCATCGTACCTGCCTGACACTTTGTATCCCAGCAGGGGAAGAGACTGTGAGGCCTGTGGGGGAGAGGAGGGTTCTCTGGCTTGGTATTTGTTTTGGCAGGATCTGCCTTACCTGAGGGGGATTGAGAGAGCTTTTTGGGCCAGGACCCTTGTTGAGGTGGGACCTCCTTACCTGGGTCTCACGATTTCCCTTGTATCTCTGAGAAGGGTATGGAACTCTCAGACCCTGAAAAGAGAGACTTTCTGGGCCACACCATTCGTTTTTGCAAGATCCTTCTTGCCTCTCTCCCCTCGGTATCTCTCAGTGGGGGAAGGAAATTCTCAGTCCTGCAAGAAAGGAAAGCACTTTTTTTGGCTGCTTATTGTTCTTAGGGTTCCTAATCAATCCTCCTTGTTGATGATGTCAGACTTCCTTAGTGTGTTGTTAAATGAAAGAATGGGCCTATCTGGACTGCCTTCTATGACTGGATTTGGCTTTTGAAAATGCTAGGTCTGAGTCACATTTTGTTCTGTGGGAGGAGGTGTGATGCTCTGCTGCTATGGTGTGTCACCAGTCCCAGGTTCTCAAACCAATACACCTACTTTATCACCTTTTCAGAGTTGTTTGATTGCTTCTTGTATCATGCCCAGGGTTTTTTATTGTACTTAGTGGAGAGAAGAAAGATAAAATATATCCGTTCCATCTTGTCCAGACTGGAAATTGATATGTATTTTGATTTGCATTTTCTTTATTACTGGTGAGATCCTACTTATATCCTTCTTTCTTTTCCTCATTTCTACCTCTTTCTTTGTGAATTCTTTGCCCACTACATATTAGGTATTATGCCTGTGCACTTGTTTTTCTGTCATACACCTTTATCACATTTTGTAATTGATAGACTATTTCTTTGAATTTTCCATTGAGACTCTGGCTTGAAGAAATCACCTTTATTTTCCTTTTCAGGTTAATGCCAGCTCCTGGACTAGTTGTTGGCTATTTTATATACTCACTAAAAGAAGCAGGAGAGAGGTAGTCACTAAATATTTTGTCAATGAATAAAAGAAGGAATTGTAATTTAGGTAATTTTAAAAAACTGATATTTGCTCTTCCTTTAACAACTACAATGTGAAAACATTACATAACTGATTTGGCATGCTGTAATAGTGACAGGTGAAGCCAGCTGCACTTCCTGGGTAGAGTGGGGACTTGGAGAACTTTTCTGTCTTACAAAAGGATTGTAAAACGCAACAATCAGTGCTCTGTGTCTGGCTAGAGGGTTGTAAATGCACCAATTAGCACTCTGTAAAAACGCGCCGATCAGCACTCTGTGTCTAGCTAAAGGATTGTAAATGCATCAATCAGCACTCTGTAAAATGGGCCAATCAGCACTCTGTAAAATGGACCAATCAGCAGGATGTGGACGGGGACAAATAAAGGAATAAAAGCAGGCCTCTCCAGCCAGCAGTGACAACCCACTCAGGTCCCTTTCCATGCTGTGAAAGCTTTGTTCTTTCGCTCTTCACAATAAATCTTGCTGCTGCTCACTCTTTGGGTCCCTGCCACCTTTAAGAGCTGTAACACTCACCGCGAAGGTCCACGGTTTCATTCTTGAAGTTGGCGAGACTGAGAACCCACTGAAAGGAACCAACTCCGGACACAATAGGGTGGTAAGAATTACTTTACCACAAATTATGGCAATAAGCTGTAAAGCAGAGTGTATAGGAGAAACCAATTATTTTTTCTGTATACTCTGACATCATCAGATGTGTGGTTTCTTTCTCTCACCAATAAATTATTTAATTCTTTGTAGACACCAGCTAAGTGTCCTACAATTTAACTAAATCTGACACTATCTATCTGGAGTTAGCATCAGGTTAAGGGTTGAGTTCCACAAGATTGCCCTCACTTTAGATGCCAATCACAAATCCAAGTGCCATCTGTGCTTATGACCAACCAGCTAGAAAACAGACATTTCCATGATTATCATCGGGTTTCATCATTTGTTAGAATGGCTCACAGAACCCAAGAAAAGAATTAACTTAATAGATTACTTGTTTATTATAAAAAGATGCAGCTCAGAAACAGTCAGATGAAACAGAAACATAGGGCAAGGTATGGAGGAAGGGGCACAGAGCTTCTGTGCCCTACCCAGGCATGCTACCCTCCCAATACCTCCACGTGTTCACCAACCTGTTAAAGCCATTAACATAGTAATACAACTTATTCACATTATAAGCCAAGTTATTTAAGAGTTAAAATGCATCAACCATTACTGTGTCTATTAAACTGTTTCTTAGAGTCTGGTGAAATTATAATTTGGTGATAATGCCAAGTCACTAAAGACATTCAGCTTTCCTCTTATTTTGTTAAATATGACTGAAATGCATAAATATTCTCCTTCTCTCATTTATATATTATAGTTCCTATAGAAAAAATAATATTTCCTTTTGATAGCCTATGAAGAACTTGCTGAATAGTATTTTGTTATTGTGTAAGCTAATAGTGGCAGGGATGTTTTTCCAGATATTTCTACTGAAATAACTTTGTTTTTGTCAGACTAATCTTTTGATCCGAATTTCATTGTTTAAATATAAAATATAACCATGATAATATTTAAGCATGATGAAGGTAGAGAAGATGATGATGAAGGTGATAATGTTTACTAAGTTTATTTCTTGAACATTCCGGACATTATATACAATATGTAAATACATGTTTATCATGTTTAAGAAGGATATTTACATAAATTATCCTAAAGATATTCATTATCCATTTTAGCAAGCCTGAAATTAAGTTGACTACTGACTTTTAAATTCTGTACTAATGTTAATTTAGACAAAAATGTTTGAATACATAAGCACTTATAAAATTTCCAGAAGCTCATATATTTCAGATTCCATATTTCACAAATTAACAACATAATACCTGCTATGTAAAAACCAGTAGATTTTCTTCTTCACATATAAGAAGAATAAGAAATATTTTAATATGGTTGCTATCAACATTTTATTCCATTTTTTTTTTTTAGGAAAGCAGCTAAAATCACAGTGAAGAGTAGGCCTTTTACAAAAAATGATGAAAATCCTTAAAAGAGCAAAACAGTAAAGACATGTTGGGGGAACTATGTCAAATATTAAATTTTATAAATTTATAATGTCTACATCATGTATTTTCATAATAAATATTCCAAAAGTTTTACTACTAAAATATTTGCCAGGTAAAGGGTAAACACATTTAAATGGATTGTTATTTTATCAAGGTACACATATGAAAAATCTAAGAAGAAATTCTGGCTCAGACTATGGACTGAATGTTCATGTTCCCCAAAAATTTTATGTTGAAATTTTAACCCCTCATGTGATGATATCAGAAGGAGAGACCTTTGGTAGGTGATCAGATCAGGAAGTTGGGGCCATTGTAAAAAGACAGGAGTCAACTTCCTTTCTCTCTTTGTTCCCCACCATGTGAGGATATGACAATATGGCAATCTGCAAACCAGAAAGAGTGCCCTCTCCAGACACCAGATCTGCAAGTGCTTTGATGTTGTACTTTCCAGCCTCCAGAAATGCATGAAAAAATATTCTGTTATTTAAGTCACCCAATCTATGGTATTCTGTTAAGAGTGGGCTGAAGTAAGACAGCTCTCGTCTGTAAAATTATTCAGCGAGCAAACTGAATAATTAAAGAAGTAACAGTAATAATAATGACTTGTAGATTTTTTGAAAATAACTGTTTGAAAGTTTATGTAATAAGAAATAATAGTTTAATGTGAACAAATTTAATGTGACTAAATCAATACATGTTCAATAATAAATATAATCCCATGAAGTCTCTGGGATGTTGTTACTATAAATCAAGTTATTTGGGCTAAATATCTTTAAATGTTTTCTGATATTTCCTTTTCCCTTGCTCCATTTCAGCCCAAAAGTCATGATTGTTTTATATTTCTAAGAGAATTTATAGAAATATTATCCAGTCATCAAGCCCTCCTGACTCTTTTTTAAGGTATCCCATTTCCCTTCCTTGTTATTACAGTAGCATTATTTTAAGTCAGACATCTCATCATTACATTTTCTTCCCAGCTTCCCAGCTATTCTTCCTGTGTCCTAACTTCTTTCCACTCTATCTCCTATAATTCATCCTGTAAAACACCAGTATGTAATAAAAGTTTATTATGCCACAACCACTAAAATCCTTCCTTTGCTTCTTGTTGCTTATTAGAAAATATGTAAACTCTCTACTCTCATATTCTACATCTTCCTTTTTGTATCCCAACTTACCCTCTACTATAATCTTTCCCCTCCTTTCATTGCTCAAATATTTTCATAATTCCTTGTCTACAACTGAGAACTGAGCTGAAAAAAAAGACAAAAGGGTGATAAAGAAGGAACACAGGTTTTGAAGTTAGGAAGACTTGGATACTTCTACTTACTACCTACTTAGATTTGGGGTAAATTACCGCATCTTTCAGAGTCTCACCTTTCTCATCTATAAAATTGAGATGATACTTACCTTTCCACGAAGGTGTGAAAGTTATATGAAATAATACAAGTAAATGTGCCTAGTACAGTGCTTGACATATAATAACCACCTAATTAATGTCAGAGGCTGCTGGTGTTATTGTTATCAGCATTAGTATTAATAAAAGTGGCTTTAAGTCTGGGGGTGTGGCTCACACCTGTAATCCCAGCACCTAGGGAGGCTGAAGTGAGAGGATCACCAGAGTCCAGGAGTTCAAGACCAGCCCGGGCAACATAGTCAGGCCCCGTCTCTACAAAAATAAAAAAAATATATATATTAACTGGGCATGGTGGTGCATGCCTGTTGTCCCAGCTACTTGGGAGGCTGAGAAGGGAGGATTGCTTGGGCTGATGAAGTAAAGGTTGCAGTGAGCTATGATTGTGTCACTGCATTCCAGCCTGGGTGACAGGGCGAGACCCTGTCTCAAAACAAAGAGGCTTTAATAAGCAGGATTTCAGCTTAAAAAGATGCTAGAATTTTTAGAACCTAGGTACTATAACCAGGGCTCTTGATAATAGAGAAAGCAGAGAAAGATTAAAGACATTAACAGAAAGACTGGAATTGTGAATTTTGGGTGTGAATTCCATATTTCTCTGATATCTACTTCAAATGCAATCTGGTATGCTTTGAGGCTTGGGCTCTGAATCTAACAACCATGCTGCACACTCTGATTCTTTTCTTATTTAAAAGAAGCGTTCCTTTCTAAATGATTGCAACAAAAACCAAGGCATATAGTTGACTACATATTGACAGTATCGCGAATAAATGGCTTTTACTGTCATGTTAGTAGCCAGTCTTTACCAAGTCAACTGCACTGAACCTCCTTCAGGTACTTGCATGACTCACTCTCACTGGATTGTAGCCTTTGCTCCCTAAACATCTTATTTAAAGTAATCCCTTATCTTGTTTTATTTTATTGACAGCATTTATGACTATCTGAAATGACCACATATTTTCTGCCACTTTATAATTGTTTGTGTCCCCTCAATCATTCCAATTTCTTATTCTTTACACTCGATGATATGTTTCATAATGTAACATGCATCTTATTTTAACTCATTAATTTTGTTGTTATACAAACATGTAATGAAATACTTTTTTGACTTTAATCTTTCAATCCACCTAGTTTTCTTCTACAGTGAGTATTTAAGTAAGGTAAAATGCTATGCTTAATTTTAAATAAATATTATTGCTTCAATAATTAATTGATTAAACGAATAATTTACAGTAGAATTTTCACATTCTCCTCTTCTTAAATCTTCCCCCTTCCACTATATTATACACATAATATCCACTCCCCCTTCTTTTCCTATATCAGGGAAAATGAATGAGGAAGCTAGATTTCTACATGTTTTAGTTATATTTCTTTTCACATATTGGAATACATATTTCCCTTTAATAAAAAAGTAAGGTTTTAAAATCAAATGTTTGCTGACTGCGTTTGCACTGTTTTTTTTTTTTTTACTCTGAAAAGCCTATACTAAAGCATCAGTTTTTATTATTCTTGGTTCTTCTACTTTACAAACAGATTAAAAGATATTTATAAAACAACGTTTTAGAAAAATACATGGTGCCCTATACTAGCTTTCACTGAGATGCTCGGTATGGTGTCTTCAAGTAGCTTGGAGTAATCATTATAGGAAGCAGTATTAAGACCCTGTACAAAGAGTGTCTGTAATGTGTATTTTTTTCTCATTTGGAAAAAGTATGTTTTCCTCTCTGACTGTGTTGGCCATAGTTTCAGAGAAAACACTATTGTTTAAGTTCAGTAATGGAAAATGGTTGTCAGTGACCATCAAATGTGAAGGAATCTGACCCTCAGGCACTCCATAATCCTAGTTTCTGGCTACTACCAGTCTATTTTCAAACATCCTCTATTTTCAACCAACCTTAGGGGTGGCATCTTTCTCTTCCTCCAGTTGACTACCATCACAGATACAAGATGGGGAATGGCAACTAGACCATATGGGTAACAAAGCAAATTGGAATCTGCAACTTTACCTTTTTAATGAAGAAATATTAAAACCAACAATACATGTAAAGTCCCAGAATATTATAAACTTCATAATTGTGTCTGTTTAGTTCTCTATTGTATCCCCAGCACCTGAAACAGCTCCTAGCATACAGTAGATTTGCTGTACACATCTGATGAATAAAATAATAAAAGAAACCACCAAAAGCACATGCAAAAAAACAAAAATAAAATAGTGGAACTACATCAAGCTAAAAAGCTGCTGCACAGCAAAGCAAACAATCAAAAGAGTGAAAAGACAACCTTTAGAATGGGAGATAGTATTTGCATACCACATATCTGATAAAGATCTAATATTAAAAATATATAAGGAACTCCTATAACTCAATAGCAAAAAAAAAAAAGATGTGAATAGACACTTCTCAAAAAAGACATACAAATGGCCAATGGGTATATGAAAAGATGATCAACGTCACTAATTATCAGTGAAATGCAAATCAAAACCAAAATAAGATATCACCTCACAGCCATTAGAATGAATATTATTTAAAAGAAATACAGGCCAGGCGCAGTGGCTGACGCCTGTAATCCCAGCACTTTGGGAGGCTGAGGCAGGTGGATCATGAGATCAGAAGTTCGAGACCAGCCTGGCCAAGATGGTGAAACCCCGTCTCTACTAAAAATACAAAAATTAGCTGGGCGTGGTGGTGGGCACCTGTAATCTCAGCTACTCGGGAGGCTGAGGCAAAGAATTGCTTGAACCTGGGAGGCAGAGGTTTCAGTGAGCCGAGATCATGCCACTTCATTCCAGCCTGGGCGATAGAGCGAGACTCTGTCTCAAGAAAAGAAATACAAAAGATAATAAATGTTGGTCAAGATGTGAAGAAATTGGAATTGCTACATACTGTTGGTGGGAGTGTAAAATGGTGCAGTTGCTAGGAAAACAGTATGAAGGTTCCTCAACTACTTTATGATCCAGCAATCCCACTTTTGTTTTTGTTTTTGTTTTTGTTTTGAGATGGAGTTTTGCTCTTGTCACCCAGGCTGGAGTGCAACGGCGAGATCTCTGCTCACTGCAACTTTAGCCTCTCGGGTTCAAGCGATTCTCCTGCCTCAGCCTCCCAAGTAGCTGGGATTACAGGCCTGTGCCACCACACCCAGCTAATTTTTTTTATGTTTAGCAGAGATGGGGTTTCACCATGTTGATCAGGCTGGTCTCCAACCCCTGGCCTCAGGTGACCCACCTGCCTCAGCCTCCCAAAGAGCTGGGATTAAAGGCGTGAGCCACCACACCTGGCCAGCAATCCCACTTTTGAGAACATATTCAAAAGAATTTAGATCAGAATCCTGTAGAGACATTAGAACTCCTACGTTCATTGCAACACTATTTACAATGACCAATATGTGGAAAAAACCCAAATCAAACGTCCACCCATAGATGAGTGGATAAAAATAGTATGTCATATAAATAAACAATAAAATTCTATTCAGCCTTAAAGAAGAAAATCCTGTTATATGTAACAACATGGATAAACCTGGAGGGCATTGGACTAACTGAAATAAGCCAGGCACAGAAGGACAAGTACTGCATGATTCTACTTACATAAGGAATCTTAAGTAGTCAGATTCATTGAAACAGAGTGTAGAATGGTGTTTATCAGGGGCTGAAGGAGTAAGGGGAAATGGTGAGTTGCTGGTCAACATTTATATAGCTTCAGTTATGCAAAATGAATACGTTCCAGAGATACTCTGTATAACATTATGCTTATAGTTAAAAACACTGTATTGTACACTTGAAATTTTGTTAAGAGAGTCATTGTCATGTTGACTCTTTTTACCACAATAAAAAATAATTTTATACATTTAGAAAAATAGCCTATATTAGCTGCCCCTCAATTTTATTCATCCCTAGGCAAACCCTGGAGAGATAAGCAAGCAATCTCTAAGACTTTGTAAGTAAAAACTTAGAGAATTTGAAAACAGTTCAAAAAAGAGCCACATATCTGAGGAAAGAATTGTAAAAATAGAAAAATTAGGCAAGTTAAAAAATTTGCAATTATTCAGCATAGAGCTAAAAAGGGGAAGTAGCATAATATTGGCGTCATCATGAGCAAATGGGAAATGATCACCAAAACAGAGTGGAAAATTGTTCCTAATTCCAATGAAGACAGAAAAAGGGCAAAACACCCACACTGCAGTATGAAATCTAAATCTCCTAGCATTCTCTCTGAAAGGTACACATCTCTAGTGCTTTTGAAAATAGTCTTTTTTTTTTTCCGGTCATTTATATTTCAAGTGTGGTCCTGAAGGGGAATGAATAGATGTTTTCTCAAGGAGAGTTAACTCTGTGTGTGGGGTGGAGGTGAGGGCTCCAGAAGGAGGGAGAGTTTATAAATTAGCAAGTTGTAATGTCTGTTGAAATAATTATATTCTGTATTGTTCGGTCAGACCCTAAACTTGGCTGTACTGCTTTACAAAAGAAAAGGCTTTTGCACAAGGCCCTCTTACTTTCTCACCAAAGTGAGTTTCTGTGCCTGATTTAAGAAAATGCCGTTTGAGAGATGTGATAATTGAATAATTTTGAGGCTGTCTAGAGTACACAAGGGAAGTTGATTAAAGTCAGTAAAACATAGGCTCTCTGATTATGCTGCAAATCTTTCCAAGCCAGAAGAACCAGCATTGTTATGAAGGCTCCTTTGCTTAACAGTTTGCTTTATTTGCTTAATAATTACTTAAATAAATAACTGTATTTAAAACAATGAAATTTTAGACCAATATCCCTGAGGAACATCGATGCAAAAAACCTCAATAAAATACTGGCAAAACGAATCCAGCAGCACATCAAAAAGCTTATCCACCATGATCAAGTGGGCTTCATCCCTGGGATGCAAGGCTGGTTCAACATACACAAATCAATAAATGTAATCCAACATATAAACAGAACCAATGACAACAACCATACGATTATCTCAATAGATGCAGAAAAGGCCTTTGACAAAATTCAACAACACTTCATGCTAAAAACTCTCAATAAATTAGGTATTGATGGGACGTATCTCAAAATAATAAGAACTATCTATGACAAACCCACAGCCAATATCATACTGAATGGGCAAAAACTGGAAGCATTCCCTTTGAAAACTGGCACAAGACAGGGATGCCCTCTCTCACCACTCCTATTCAACATAGTGTTGGAAGTTCTGGCCAGGGCAATTAGGCAGGAGAAGGAAATAAAGGGTATTCAATTAGGAAAAGAGGAAGTCAAATTGTCCCTGTTTGCAGACGACATGATTGTATATCTAGAAAACCCCATTGTCTCAGCCCAAAATCTCCTTAAGCTGATAAGCAACTTCAGCAAAGTCTCAGGATACAAAATCAATGTGCAAGAATCACAAGCATTCTTATACACCAATAACAGACAAACAAAGAGCCAAATCATGAGTGAACTCTCATTCACAACTGCTTCAAAGAGAATAAAATACCTAGGAATCCAACTTACAAGGGATGTGAAGGACCTCTTCAAGGAGAACTACAAACCACTGCTCAATGAAATAAAAGAGGATACAAACAAATGGAAGAACATTCCATGCTCATGGGTAGGAAGAATCAATATCGTGAAAATGGCCATACTGCCCAACGTAATTTATAGATTCAATGCCATCCCCATCAAGCTACCAATGACTTTCTTCACAGAATTGGAAAAAAACTACTTTAAAGTTCACATGGAACCAAAAAAAGAGCCCGCATTGCCAAGTTAATCCTAAGCCAAAAGAACAAAGCTGGAGGCATCATGCTACCTGATTTCAAACTATACTACAAGGCTACAGTGACCAAAACAGCATGGTACTGGTACCAAAACAGAGATATAGACCAATGGAACAGAACAGAGCCCTCAGAAATAATGCCACATATCTACAGCTATCTGATCTTTGACAAACCTGACAAAAATAGGAAATGGGGAAAGGATTCCCTGTTTAATAAATGGTGCTGGGAAAACTGGCTAGCCATATGTAGAAAGCTGAAACTGGATCCCTTCCTTACACCTTATACTAAAATTAATTCAAGATGGATTAAAGACTTGAATGTTAGACCTAAAACCATAAAAATCCTAGAAGAAAACCTAGGCAATACTATTCAGGACATAGGCATGGGCAAGGACTTCATGTCTAAAACACCAAAAGCAATGGCAACAAAAGCCAAAACTGACAAATGGGATCTAATTAAACTAAACAGCTTCTGCACTGCAAAAGAAACTACCATCAGAGTGAACAGGCAACCTACAAAATGGGAGAAAATTTTTGCAATCTACTCATCTGACAAAGGGCTAATATCCAGAATCTACAATTAACTCCAACAAATTTACAAGAAAAAAACAAACAACCCCATCAAACAGTGGGCGAAGGATATGAACAGACACTTCTCAAAAGAAGACATTTATGCAGCCAAAAGACACATGATAAAATGCTCATCATCACTGGCCATCAGAGAAATGCAAATCAAAACCACAGTGAGATACCATCTCACACCAGTTAGAATGGCGATCATTAAAAAGTCAGGAAACAACAGGTGCTGGAGAGGATGTGGAGAAATAGGAACACTTTTACACTGTTGGTGGGACTGTAAACTAGTTCAACCATTGTGGAAGTCAGTGTGGCGATTCCTCAGGGATCTAGAACTAGAAATACCATTTGACCCAGCCATCCCATTACTGGGTATATACCCAAAGGATTATAAATCTTGCTGCTATAAAGACACATGTACACGTATGTTTACCACGGCACTATTCACAATAGTAAAGACTTGGAACCAAGCCAAAAGTCCAACAATGATAGACTGGATTAAGAAAATGTGGCACATATACACCATGGAATACTACGCAACCATAAAAAATGATGAGTTCATGTCCTTTGTAGGTACATGGATGAAGCTGGAAACCATCATTCTCAGCAAACTATCGCAAGGACAAAAAATCAAACACTGCATGTTCTCACTCATAGGTGGGAATTGAACAATGAGAACACGTGGACACAGAAAGGGGAGCATCACACACCAGGGCCTGTAGTGGGGTGCAGGGAGGGGGGAGAGATAGCATTTGGAGATATACCTAATGTTAAATGACGAGTAACTGGGTGCAGCACGCCAACATGGCACATGTATACATATGTAACAAACCTGCACATTGTGCACATGTACCCTAAAACTTAAAGTATAATTTAAAAAACAATGAAATATTTTCACTTTTTTACTCGTAAATATAGCATTTGAGTATTCTTCTAGTAACAAAACAAGTTTCACTTAATAAGACACTATTAGTAATCTTATTAATGGTTCTGGTTGTTTTCTAAACAGAGTAAACTATAGGGTAAGTTATTTACCTTACATTTGTAAATGAAGGTCCTTTGATGCAGATCTAGTTGGTTCTCCTCTGAGGTTCTGTCTGTAAGGTCAGTTACTTGAACAGGAAACTATCCTGAGAGAGGAAACCCAAGATATCTATATTTGTTATTTAAGTAATCTCTGACATTCTTGTGAGTTTTAGTTGATCTTCTATTTCATGGGAGTGAACCAAAAGGAAAAATATATCATCAATTTTAGAAAAATAAATTGGGGCTAGATAAAACACATGCATATATATTTTGTCTACTTATTTCTCTAAACATGGTCAGGTAAAAAACCAAAAATGGGTAAGGATTCCAGAAAATCAAAGAAGATATTTGACAATGAATATTTCAATACTTGACAATTTCCACCCCACTGATACTTTTATTTATTTATTTTTATTATACTTAAGTTCTGGGATGCATGTGCAGAATGTGCAGGTTTGTTACATAGGTATAAACGTGCCATGGTGGTTTGCTGCATCCATCAACCCGTCATCTACATTAGGTATTTCTCCTAATGCTATCCCTCCCCTAGACCCTACACCTCAACAGGCCCCAGTGTATGATGTTCCCCTCCCTGTGTCCATGTGTTCTCGTTGTTCAACTCCTACTTATGAGTGAGAACATGTGATGTTTGGTTTTCTGTTCCTGTGTTAGTTTGCTGAATTTGATGCTATCCCCATCAAGCTACCATTTTCTTCACAGAATTAGAAAAAACTACTTTAAATTTTATATGGAACCAAAAGAGAGCCCGTATAGCCAAGAAAATCCTAAGCAAAAAGAACAAAGCTGGAGGCATCACACTACCTGACTTCAAACTATACTACAAGGCTACAGTAACCAAAACAGCATGGTACTGGTACCAAAACAGATATATAGACCAATGGAACAGAACAGAGGCCTCAGAAATAACACCACCCTTCTACAACCATCTGATCTTTGACAAGCCTGACAAAAACAAGCAATAGGGAAAGGATTCCCTATTTAATAAATGGTGTTGGGATATTTTCAAAATAAGAGGCTGGTCTAGGATTGCAAACAAAAACGTTCCCCAGAAAACTCTCATGACACTGTAACAATGGGAAATTTCTGTAACAGGTATATTTTTAGATTTAGTCAAAATTTTAATTAGAAAAGCTATATATGCTGAAGGACTTTCCTTCATAACATGAAAAAATGTATATTGCCAAATATATTGATTATTTTTAATTTAACTTTACAATTATAGAAATTTTATTGATGATTTTTAAAAAATGCATTTGTTAATTCATCCCTTCATTCTGAACACTGTAGCAATCACTGTTCATTAATCTTAGCTTGCAGAATTACAATTATAATGAGAGCTATAGTAAAAAGAATGTCACACATTGTGTATTATAACTTCCCGGGCAACCAGGACAAGAGACAAACTAGGAGACACAGAAGTGAAGAACGAGCACTTTTCAGAAAGTATATTAAAAGTCCTTTGATTGAGAGCTTAACGACAGGACTGAAGTTAAGCCTTTGGCCTTCAGCATAGCTGTTATAACATAAACATTAACAATCTACAAATGTTCATTTACAAATTTACAAACCTAGCCCACTTGTTGCAATCATGATAGGAGTCAGTTTACTGATGAGTAAAACCTATTATTGACTCTGTTGGCAGTGGAGCGTTCATTCTCACCATTCTCTGGTGGTTTTATTCAGAAAAGATTGTAATACTGGGCACATTTTTATGACTTATCACATGTTATTTACACAAGTAGTTTGGATCAAAGTGGTAGTTGACCTGGATCTAGAGAGTTCATTCTCACTATGTTGCCCAGGATGGTCTGGAACTCCTGGGCTCAAGTGATCTTCCGGCCTCAAGCCTCCAGAGAAGCAGAAATTATAGGCTGTGTGCTTAATTGCTAAAAATTTTAATGACAATAACATGACTTGAATACAAAACTGGTAGAGAGAAAGGCACAGGAATCCCAAATCTGTCTCATCTCACTCCATTTCTGTGCCTTCTAATGTTATTTAAAACACTGAAATCTCTTTATTTTCACTCAGAAATACAAAAATTGAGGTAGTCCCATTGGTAGTGAAGACGACCTCAGCTCAAGTTCCTAGGGCCTAACAGAACTTTGGTCAAGCCTAAAACAAGCTAAATGTTCATATCATTTTTCTTCACATAATTATTATCTGAGACACCAGACATGCCCACTCTAGGACATATTGGGTGCTGCATTGAGAAATTCATTTGTAGGCTGAATAATTTTTCTAATCTTAATTTTCCTCTCACAGTACAAGAGAGTAAATGCTTCCTAACTTCTTTATATGCTTTAGAAAAAAGAATACCAAGTCAAGGCTAGGCGCAGTGGCTCACACCTGTAATCCCAGCACTTTGGGAGGCCGAGGCGGGCAGATCACGAGGTCAGGAGATAGAGACCATCCTGGCTAGCATGGTGAAACCCCGTCTCTACTAAAAATACAAAAAATTAGCCGGGCGTGGTGGCAGGCGCCTGTAGTCCCAGCTACTGGGGAGGCTGAGGCAGGAGAATGGAGTGAACACTGGAGGCGGAGCTTGCAGTGAGCCGAGATCGCACCACTGCACTCCAGCCTAGGCGACAGAGCAAGACTCCATCTCAAAAAAAAAAAAAAAAAAAAAAAAAAGAAAAAGAAAAAGAATACTAAGTCAATAAATAAATCCACCACTAGCTCTGAGATTCTTCCCTCCACCAAGCCCAGAAAAATTGCATTTAAATACAGAATTCGTTTCTGCAACTTTCACTCTGAAAAATCTTATTATTACTGAGGGAAAAGAAACAGTATTAGCTCTACGAAGAGGATTGCTGTGCTACATTTGCATAGTTCTTAACATGATAAGAAAAAAATGCCTATGATATATATTTTTGACAGTTTGACAGTTTCACTGTTCAGATTCGACATTCAACATTTAAAAGGCAAGTAATTGAAACTGCTATTACTCTGCTAAACAGAGTTCACGAGCTATTGTTATGGATTTTCATAGATGTTAGAGAGATGATATTTTCATAAGCCTCACTATCAGTCTGTTTAAAATGATAAGAAGAAGGTCGGGCATGGTGGCTCATGCCTGTAATCCAGCACTTTGGGAGGCTGAGGTGGGCGGATCGCTTGAGGTTAGGAGTTGGAGACCAGCCTGGCCAACATGATGAAACCCCGTCTCTACTAAAAATACAAAAATTAGCTGGGCATGGTGGCGAGCGCCTGTAATCCCAGCTACTAGGGAGGCTGAGGCAGGAGAATTGCTTGAACTCGGGAGGTGGAGGTTGCAGTGAACCAAGATCCTGCCATTGCACTCCAGCCTGGGCAACAGAGTGAGACTCTGTCAAAAAATATATACATAAGAAAAATGTATTTGTCATTTCTCATTGTTAATGAATTACAATACTTCCTTAAAGTGCTTATAGTATACATATTAGCTTCCTACTTGTGTCATATATACCTGTTCTATATATCAATTAACCGTATAACAATGTCACTAACATTTACGATAAGAATACATAAGTGCTGGTTGGGCGTGGTGGCTCACGCCTGTAAGTCCAGCACTTTGGAGGCTGAGGAGGGAAGATCACCTGAGGTTAGGAGTTCGAGACCAGCCCGGCCAACATGGTGAAATTCCATCACTGCTAAAAATACAAAAATTAGCAGGGCATGGTGGTGGGCACCTGTAATCCCAGCTACTTGGGAGGCTGAGACAGGAGAGTCGCTTGAACCCAGGAGGTGGAGGTTGCAATGAGCAGAGATTGAGCCACTGCACTCCAGCCTGAGCGACAAGAACAAAACTCCTCAAAATAAATAAATAAAATAAAACAAAGTAAAATAAAATAAGAATACATAAGTGCTTCATTTACACTGTGATGTTTCCTTAGCAACTTTCTTGTAAAATATATGAAAAATATTTCTGTATAATTTAAAAACAGGAGTTTGCATGTATAAATTCACTATATGTAGATATATTAAATACATAAATAATCTTCTTTCCTACATTTTACTTAGTCACTATTGTCAGAATGTGAAAATTGCATACTATTTTAAAAACATGACTTGGCTATCTTTTGCCATATTATTTTATTTAAAGATAGAATATTCTTAGGAAAATGGACCTTAGGTACTTAAATCAGAAGTTCAAAGACTAGCCAGGAGTAATTTTGGAGGACATGGCTTCTGTATAACTCAAAGTATGTGTTCTTCGTTTCAGTAATAAATGTAAAATTTATTCTTGGGAAATGCTCCTTAAATGCCTTGAATCAATTCCAATTTTTATATTTTAATCAATAATATTATTAAATATTTTTCCCCTAGGCTCGACACCAAATATCATCAGATGTTTCCCCCCTAGACTAGACCTCTAAAAATATAATGAAAAAGTGGAAATGCTGTCAGAACAAAAGTTACATATAAATTATTCAGGTATTTTTAAAATTCCATATGGATTCTATGCCACCTGTTATAATCAGAGAAACTTTCTATCCTCTACTTCCCTCCTTTAACAAGTTGTCAAATTCAATTTCCAATTAAATCAATTTTTGGAAAACAGTTGTTGCTTTAATTTTTTCGGTCATAATTATTGCAACAACTTTTTGATTGCTTTCATTACAGCAAATGTCATTTTTAAAACAATCAGTACAATAAAATGACTTGACTTTAGCCATGTTTGTGTCTATCTGCTTTAATGCACTATAAATGTAGTGTTTCAGACATTTTTAGAAAAAGGTATTACTTTTACAGATTATACTGAGAAGTATACACATATTTTGCTACACATTTATTTTTAAGGAAAACAATTTGCACAGTTATATTTGGTATGAGATGAAAACTATATTTTTTAACTTAAACTATCTGTCTTTAGCTGACTAGTACATTGTTTCTAGAAAAGTAAACATGTATTTCTTCTTTTATTTTATTTAACATTTATTGTAGGTTCAGGGTTACATGTACAGTTTTGTTACATAGGTAAATTGCATGTCATGGGGTTTTGGTGTACAGATTATTTTATCACTCAGGTAAATAAGTATAGTACGTGATAGGTAGTTTTTTGATCCTCACCCTCCTCCCACCACCCACCCTCAACTAGGCCCCAGTGTCTGTTGTTCCCTTCTTGTTGTCCATATGTTCTCAATATTTAGGTCCCACTTATAAGAAAGAACATGCATTATTTGTTTTTTCTCTTCCTTTGTTAGTTTGCTTAGGATAATGGCCTCAAACTCCATCCATGTTTCTGCGAAGAACATGATCTCATTCATCTTTACAGCTCCATAGTATTCCATGGTGTATATGTATCATATTTTCTTTATTCAGTCTACTGTTGATGGGCACTTAGGTTGATTCCATTTCCTTGCTATCGTGAATAGTCCTGCAATAAACATATGCATGCATTTGTCATAATGGTAGAACAATTTATATTCATTTGGGAATACAGCCAATAATGGGACTGCTGGGTCAATTTGGTTTCAAGTTCTTTGAGGAATCACCAAACTTTGCTTTCCACAAAGGCTGAACTAATTTACATTCCCAGCAGAAGTGCATAAGTGTTTCCTTCTCTGCAACTTTGTCAGCATCTATTATTTTTGACTCTTTAGTAATAGACATTGTCATTGGTATGAGATGATATATCACTGTAGTTTTGATTTCCATTTCTCTAATGATGAGCGATGTTGAGCATGTTTTCATATGCTTGTAGTTCACATTGTGCCTTCGTTTGAAAGGTGTCTGTTCATGTCCTTTGCCCACTTTTTGATGGGGTTCTTTGTTTTTTGCTTGTAATTTGTTTAAGTTCCTTACAGATTCTGGACATTAAACCATTGTTGGATACACAGCTTGCAAATATTTTCTCACATTCTGTCTGTTTAATCTGCTGATAGTTTCTTTTGGTGTACCGAAGCTCTTCAGTTTCATTAGGTTCTATCTGTCCACTTGTGTTTTTGATGCAATTGCTTTTGGCATCTTTGTCATAAAGTCTTTGCCAGGTCGTGTGTCAAAAATAATATTTCCTAGGTTATCTTTCAGGGTTTTTAGAGTTTTTTGTTTTAGATTTATGTCTTTAATCTATCTTGAGTTTTTTTGTATATTATGTAAGGAAGGAGTCCAATTTTAATCTTCTACATATGGCTAGCCAGTTATCCCAGCATCATTTATTGAATACCAAGTCCTTTCCCCATTGCTTGTTTTGCTCAATTTTGTCAAAGATCAGATGGTTTTAAGTGTGCAGCATTATTTCTGGGCTTTCTATTCTGTTCCATTGGTCTATGTGTCTGTTTTTGTAGGAATAATATGCTGTTTTGATTACTGTACCCTTGTAGAATATTTTGAAGCTGGGTAATGAGATGCTTCCACCTTGTTTTCTTTTTACTTAGGATTGCATTGGGTTCCACATGAATTTTAAAATAGTTTTTCTAGTTCTGGGAATAATGTCATTGGTAGTTTGATAGGAATAGCATTGAACCCGTACATTGCTTTGGGCAGTATGGCAATTTTGACAATGTTGATTTTTCCTGTCGATGAGAATGGAATGTTTCTCCATTTGTCTGTGTCATCTCCAATTTCTTTGAGCAATGTTTTGTAATTCTCATAGCAGAGGTCTTTTACCACCTTGGTTAGCTGTATTCCTAGGAATTGTATTCTTTTTGTGGCTATTGTGAATGGGATTGCATATCACTTCTTCTTTTCCTATTTGGATGTCTTTTATTCCTTTCTGTTGCCTGATTACACTGGCATGGACTCCCAGTACTATGTGAAATAGGAGTGAAGAGAGTGGGCATCCTTCTCTGGTTCTGTATATCAAGCGGAATGTTTCCAGCTTTTTCCCATTCAGTATGATGTTGGCTGTGGATTTTGCATATATGGCTCTTATTATTTTGAAGTATGTTCCTTCAATGTCTAGTTTGTTGAGGGTTTTTAACATGAAGGGATGTTGAATTTTATTGAAAGTTTTTTCTTCAGCTACTGAGATGATTATGTGGTTTTGCTTTTAGTTCTGTTTATGTGATGAATCACATTTATTGATTGGCTTATGTTGAGCCAATCTTGTATTCCAAGGATAAAGTCTACTCGATTATGGTGGATTAGCTTTTTGATGTGCTGCTGGATTTGGTTTGCTAGTATTTTGTTAAGAATGTTTGCATCTATGCTCCACAAGAATATTGGCCTGGAGTTTTCTTTTTTGTTGTTTTTGTGTCTTTGCCAGGTTTTGGTGATGCTGGTCTCATAAAATGAGTTAGGAAAGAGACCTTCCTCCTCAACTTTTTGGAATAGTTTCAGTAGGAAACTATTCAGAGTATTTAAGGTGTCCATCACCTGAGTACAATATATTTTTGTTCAGTATAGTAACTGTACTCTGCTATCAGGCATTGAATCTATTCCTGCTATTTTCCTGCGTGCCTATACCTTATAACACACTTGTGTTGTTCCTCCCTTCCATCAGCCTTCTCAGTCTCTGTTACCTATGTTTCTGCTCTCTACTTCATGTAATCAAATATTTTATCTACCAGATATGAGTGAGAATATGCAAGGTCTTTATGCTGTGCCAGGCTTATTCCACTTAAGATAATGACCTCAAGTTTCATTCATGTTGCTGTAAATGACACAATTTTATTCTTTTTATGGTTGAATATTATTCAGTTGTGTATATATACCACATTTTCTTTATCAATTCATCTGTTGATGGGCACTTAAGTTGATTCCATATATTTGCTCCCATGAATAGTGCTGCAATAAACATGCTAGTGCAGGTATCCATTTGATATACTGATTTCTTTTCCTTTGGGTAGATATCCAGTAGAGATTGTTAAATCAAATGAAAGTTCTAGTTTTAGGTTTTTCAGAAATTTCTATACTGTTTTCCATAGTGCTGTACTAGTTTACATTGCAAAAAACAATGTATAATTTTCTCCACACCCTCGCCAATGTCTGTTTTTTTGTGTGTGTCTCTTTAATGATAACCATTATTACTTGGGTAAGAGGGCATCTCATTATGCTTTTAATTTTCATTTCTCTGATGATCAGGGATGTTGAACATTTTTTCATAAACTTGTTGCGTGTTTGTGTGTCTTCTTTTGAGAAATGTCTGTTCATGTTTTTTTGCCCAGTTTTTAATAGGATTACTTGGGTTATTTTCCTATCATTTGGGTTCCTTGTATATTCTGGATATTAGTTCCTTATAAATAATTAGTTTGCAAATATTTTCTCCTGTTCAACAAGCTGGTTGTCTCTTCACTCTGTTGATTATATCATTTGCTTTCTACTTTAATTATATCCCACTTTTACTATTTTTGTTTTCTGTTGCATATGCTTTGGAGTCTGTCACAAACTCCTTGTTCAGGAAAGTTTTTCCTGGGTTTTCTTCTAGTATTTTGATAGTTTCAGGTCTTATATTTAAGTCTGTAATCCATTCAGAGTAGTTTTTTATGGTGAGAAATAAGAGTCCAGTTTCTTCTACATGTGGCTATCTAATTTTCTCAGCATTAGTTATTAAAGAGGGTATTTTTTCCTTAATGTAAGTTCTTGTTGGCTTTGTAAATATATCAGTTGGATTTATTTCTGGGTTATCTATTTTATTCCATTGGTCTATGTGTCTATTTTCATACCAATGCCATGTTGTTTTGGTAACTATAGCCTTGTAGTATATTCTGAAGTCAGGTGATGTGATGCCTTCAGCTTTCTTCTTTCTGCTCAAGATTGCTTTGGCTATTCAGGTTCTTACTTGTTCCATATACATTTTAAGAATTTTTTTCTAATTATGTGATGAATGGCATTGGTATTTTCATAGTGATTAAATTAAATCTGTATGTTTCATTGGGCAGTAGGGTCATTATAATGGTGTTAATTCTTCTGATCCATGAGAATGAGATAATTTTTATTTGTTTGTGTCTTCTTCAACTTATTTCATCAGTGTTTTGTAGTTTTTCTTGTAGAGATTTTTTACTTCCTTGGTTAAATTTGGTCCTAGGTATTTTATTTTTTGTTGCTATTATAAATGGGATTGTCTTCTTGATTTCTTTTTCAGCTAGATCATTGTTGGTGTATAGATATGCTAGTGATTTTTGTACATTGATTTCATATTCTATAATTTACTGAATTCATTTATCACATCCATGAGGTTTTGGTAAAGTCCTTAGATTTTTCTAGTTATAAGATTATTGAGGGTGGGTATGGTAGCTCATGACCGTAATCCCAGGACTTGGGAGGACGAGGTGGGCAGATACCTTGAGATCAAGAGTTTGAGACCAGCCTAGCCAACATGGTGAAACCCCATCTCTACTAAAAATACAAAAATTAGCCAGGCATGATGGCAGGAACCTTTAATCCTAGCTACTTGGGAGACTGAGGCGGGAGGAGAATGCCTTGAACCCGAGAGTTGGAGGTTGCAGTGAACCGAGATCATGCCACCACACTTCAGCCTACGTGACACAGTGAGACTCTGTCTCAAAAATAAAAAAAAAAAATGAATAAGCAAAGAGAAACTATTTGAAGTTCTCATTTTTAACTTTGATGCTTTTTATTTCTTTATCTTACTTGATACCTCTGACTAGGACTTCCAGGACTACGTTAAGTAGGAGTGATGAAATTGGGCATCCATGTCTTGTTCCAGTTCTTAGAGAAAAGGCTTTCAACTTTTCCCCATTCAGAATAATGTTAGCTATGTGTTTTTCAAATATGGCCTTCATTATTATCAAATCTGATAGTTCTGTGCCTAGTTTGTTGAGGGTTTTTATCTTGAAGTGATGTTGAATTTTATCAAATGCTTTTTTCTACATCTATTGAGAATATAATATGGCTTTTCTCCTTCATTCTGTTGATGTGAAGTATCATGTTTATTGATTTGTGTACGTTGAAACATCCTTGGCTCCCTGAAATAAACACTCCTTGATTGTGGTGTATTGTCTTTCTGTTGTCCTGTTGGATTTGATTCACTAGTATTTTGTGAGTATTTTTGTGTCCATGTTCAAGAAATACATAGCCCTGTAGTTTTCCTTTTTTGTGACTTCCCTGTCTGGTTTTGGTATCAGGGTGATGCTGGGCACATAGAATGAGTTAGGAAGCCTTCTGTTTACCTCGGTGTTTTAAAAAAGCTGTAACAAGATTGTCATTGTGGTCAGTTGGATTTCTGTCGTGATAAAATGTGAGTCCTTTATTTTCCTCTTTTTTGTTACTGCTTTTATACTTTTGTGTATTCTCATGATGGTAAATGTCATCCTTTCATGTCCAGGTTTGGGAGCTCCTTGAGCATTTCTTATAGGCCTGGTCTAATGTAATAAATTCCCTTGTCATTTGCTTGCCTGGGAGAGAATAATTCTTTTTCATTTATGATGGATAATCCAATGGACAGTGTTCTTGGGTGGCAGATTGTTTTTATTACAGCAATTTGAATATATCATCACATTCTCTTCTGGCCTATAAATTTTCTGCTGAAAGGCAGAGCAAGATGGGAGAATAGAAACCACCATCAATCATTCTCATCACAGAAACACTAAATTTAACAACTGTCTACACCCAAAACACCTACATAAGAACCAAAAATTCGTTGAGTGATCACAGTACCTGGCTTTAACTTCTTATCACTGAAAGAGGCATTAACAGGGTAGGAAAGATAGTTTGGAATTGCCAACACCACTCTCTCATATGATGGCAGGGGATGCATTGTATGGAGAAAGAATCTCTGTGCTTTAGTGAGGGAGAGTGCAGAAATTGTGGGAATTATCACTGGAACTCAGCACTGCTGACACCGGGAAGAAGTCAGCTGATGAATACAGAGAGAACATTGAGATGATCCCTATCCTGAGTGGAATTATTCACCCCAGTGGTCCTAACTTGACTTTCATCAAGCCTTGCCACTGGGGGAAAAAGTGCTCCTGAGTTTTAAATAAACTTGAAAAGTAGTCTACGCCACAAGGACTGCAACTCATAGGCAAGTCTTAGTGCTGTGCTGGGTTCAGAGCCAGTGCACTTGGGGAACATGCAACATAGTGAGACACCAGCCAGGGTGGCTAAGGGAGTGCTTGCACCACATTTTCTGACTATTTCATAAGATATTATCTGATTATTTGAAATCACATATATGACTTCAAATTATACTACAGAGCTATAGTAACCAAAACAGCATTATACTGGCATAAAAACAGACACATAGAACAATGGAACAGATTAGAGAATCCAGAAATAAATTTATACATTTACAGCAAACTGATTTTTGACAAAGGTGCCAAGAAGATACATTTAGAAAAAGTCTCTTCAATAAATGATGCTTTGAAAACTGGATATCCATATGGAGAGTATAAAACTAGACCCCTATCTCTTGACATATACATAAATCATATTAAAATTAATAAGAGGCTTTAATCCAAGGCCTCAAACTATGAAACTACTACAAGAAAACCTTAGGGAAACTCTGCAGTACGTTGGACTGGGAAAAGATTTATTGAGTAACACCGTGTAAGCACAGGCAACTGAAACAAAAATGCACAAATGGGATCACATCAAGTTGGAAAGATTCTGTACAGCAAAGGAAACAATCAACAAAGTGTAGAAACAACCCACAGAATTGGAGAAAATATGTGCAAACTACCCATCCAATAAAGGATAATAACCGGGATATATAAGGAACTCAAATAACTCTATAGGGAAAAAAATCCAATAATCTGATTTCAAAATGGGCAAAAGTTTTAAATAGTCATTTCTCAAAAGAAGATATGCAAATGTCAAACAGGCATACGAAATAGAACTCAACATCATTGATCATTAGAAAAATGCAAATCAAAACTACAATGAGATATTGCCTCACCACATGGCTTCTATCCAAAAGATAGGCTATAGCAAATGATGGTAAGGATGTGGAGAAAAGGGAATGTTCTTACACTTTTGGTCACAATGTAAGTTACTGCAACCACTATGGAGAACAGTTTCAAAGTTCCCCCCAAAAACTACAAATAGAGCTACCATTTAATCTAGCAATCCCACCTCTAGGTATATACCCCAAAGAAATGAAATCAGTGTATCCAAGGGATATCCACACTTCCATGTTTGTTGCCACACTATTCACAATTTCAAAGATTTGGAAACATCGTAATTGTCCATCAACAGATGAATGGATGAAGAAACGTGGTACATAGACACGATGGAGTGCTAATCACCTATAAAAATGAATGAGATTCTGTCATTTGCAATAACATGGATGGGACTGGAGGTCATTTTGTGAAGTGAAATATTCCAGGCACAGAAAGACAAATGTCACATGTTTTTACTTATTTGTGAAGGCTAAAACTGAAACAATTGAACTCATGGAGATAGAGAGCAGAATGATGTTTACTGGAGGCTGGGAAAGGTACTGGGGTGGTGAAGAAGTCAGGATTTTTAATAGGTACAAATAGTAGAAATAATGAGTAAGATCTAGTATTTGATAGCACAACAGGGTGCCTATTGTCAAAATAATTTATTGTACATTTAAAAATAACTAAAATAGTATAATTGGATTGTTTGTATTACAAAGGATAATTGCTTGAGGCGATGGATACAACTTTTACTCTGATGTGATTATTATACATTGTATGCCTGTCTCAACATATCTCATACATGACATAAATATATACTTACTGTGGGCCCACAAAAAATAAAAATAAAACATTTAAAAATAAATAGGGGGAGCAGCCAAGATGGCCAAATAGAAACAGCTCTGCTCTCTGGCTCCCACCAAAAAGGATGAAAACAGTGAGTGAATTCTGCATCTTCAATTGAGGTATCAAGGTCATCACACTGGGACAGACTAGGCAGTTGGTATGACCCATGGAGAGCGAGGAAAAGCAGGGTGGAGTGATGGCCCACCTGGGAGCTGCACAGGGCAAAGGGGGCTCCCTCCCCAAGCCAAGGAATACAGTAAGGGATCGTGCTGCCTCTCCCTGAAAAGCACTCTTTTATATGCCTGAAAAATTTTTATTTTTCCTTAGCTTATGAAGCTTAGTTTGGCCAGATATAAAATTCCAGGTTGGAAATTCTTTTCTTTAAGATGTTGCATATTGGCCCCCAATCTCTTCTGGCTTGTAGGGATTCTGCTGAAAGGTCTGCTCTTAGTCTGATGGGCTTTCCTTTATAACTAACCTGGCCCTTCTTTCTAGCCGCCCTTCAGGGGTGGGAGGTGCTCAGGTGAATAGGGTCTGGAGTGGACCCCCAATAAACCACAGCAGCACTACGGAAGAGGGACCTGACTGATAAAAGCAAAACAAACAGAAAGCAACAACATCAATGAAAAAGATCCTACAAAAACCCCATCCAAAGGTCAACAGCCTCAAAGATCAAAGATAGATAAACCCATGAAAATGAGAAAGAATGGCAAGCTGGATGAAGAGTCAAGATTCATTGTTGTGCTGTATTCAGGAGACCCATCTCACGTGCAAAGACACACATAGGCTCAAAATAAAAGGATGGAGGAAAATTTACCAAGCAAATGGAAAAGATAAAAAAAGGGGTTGCAATCCTGGATTCTGACAAAACAGACTTTAAACCAAGATCAAAATACAAAGATAAAAAAAAAAAAGAAAGGTGTTATGTAATGGTAAAAGGATCAACTCAATAAGAAGAGCTAACTATCCTAAATACATACGTATTCAATTTAGGTGCACTGAGATTCATAAAACAAGTTCTTAGAGGCCCACAAAGAGACTTAGACTACCACACAATAATATTGGGAGAATTTAACACCCCACTGTCAATATTACACAGATCATTGAGACAGAAAATTAACAAAGATATCTTGTACTTGAATTCAGCTCTGAATCAAGTGGACCTGATAGATATCTACAGAACTCTCTACCCCAAAACAACAGAATATACATTCTTCTTGGAGCCACATGGCACTTACTCTACAACTGATCATATAATTGGAAGTAAATCACTCCTCAGCAAATGCAAAATAACTGAAATATTAACAAATGGTGTCTTAGACCACTGCACAATTTAATTAGAACTCAAGATTAAGAAACTCACTCAAGACCACAAAACTACATGGAAATTGGACAACCTCCTTCTGAAGGTCTTCTGGGTAAATAATGAAATTAAAGACAAAATCGAGAAGTTCTTTGAAACCAATGAAAACAAAGAGACAGCATACCAGAATCTCTAGGAGGCAGCTAAAGCAGAATTAAGAGGGAAATTTATAGCACTAAATGAACACATCAAAAAGCTAGAAACATCTCAATTCAACACCCTAACATCACAACTAATGAAACTACAGAAACAAAAGCAAGTAAATCCCCAAGCTAGCAGAAGACAAGAAATAACGAAGCTCAGAGTGGAACTGAAGGAGATAGAGACACAAAAATCTAATGAATCCAGGAGCTCTTTTTTTGGAAAAAAAAAATAATAAAATAGATAGGCCTGTAGCTAGACTAATAAAGAAAAAAAGAATGAAAAATCAAAAAAGACACAATAAAAAATGATAAAGGGGATATCAACACTGACCCTACAGAAATACAAACAACCATCAGAGAATACTATAAACACCTCTATGCAAATAAACTAGAAAATCTAGAATAAATTGATGAATTCCTGGACACATACACCCTCCAAAGATGGAACCAGGAAGAAGTTGAATCCCTGAATAAATCAATAACAAGTTCTGAAATTGAGGCAGTAACAAATAGCCTACAAAAAAATAAATAAATAAAACAATAAAAACACCTCAGGACCAGATGGATTTAAGGCTAAATTCTACCAGAAGTACAAAGAGGGGCTGATATTCCTTTTTCTGAAAATATTCCAAACAATTGAAAAGGAGGGACTCCTCCCTAACTCATTCTATGAGGCCAGCATCATACTGATACCAAAACCTGGCAGAGATACAATAATATCAATAACAACAACAAAAACTTCAAGCCAATATATCCCTGTTGAATATTGATGCAAACATTCTCAGTAAAATACTGGCAAACCAAATACAGAAGCACATCAAAAAGCTTCTTCACCATGATCAAGTTGGCTTCATCCCTGGGATGAAAGGCTGGTTCAACATATGCAAATCAATAAACATAATTCATTACATAAACAGATCTAAAGACAAAACCCACATGATTATCTCAATAGATGCAGAAAAGGCCCTTGATAAAATTCAACATCCCTTCATGTTAAAAATTCTCAATAAACTAGGTATTGAAGGAACATACATTAAAATAATATGAGCCATTTATGACAAACCCATAGCCTAAATCATACTGAATTGGCAAAAGCTGGAAGCACTTTCCTTGAAAACTGGCTCTAAACAAGGATGCCTTCCCTTACCACTCCTATTCAACGCAGTATTGAAAGTTCTGGCCAGGGCAATCAGTCAACAGAAGAAAATAACGGGTATTCAAATAAGAAGAGAGGAAGTCAAATTGTCTTTGTTTGCAGATGACATTATCCTATATCTAGAAAACCCCATCGTCTCAGCCCAAAAGGTACTTACGCTGAGAAGAAACTTCAGCAAAGTCTCAGGAAACAAAATCAATGTGCAAAAGTCATAAGCCTTCCTATACACCAACAAGAGGCAAACAGAGAGCCAAATCATGAATGAACTCCCATTCCCAATTGCTACAAAGAGAATACCTAGGAATACAGCTAACAAGGGAAGTGAGCGACCTCTTAAAGGAGAACTACAAACAACTGCTCAAGGAAATCAGAGAGGACACAAACAAATGGAAGAACATTCCATGCTCATGTATAAGAAGAACCAATATGATGAAAATGGCCATACTGCCCAAAGTAATTTATAGTTTCAATGTTATTCCCATTAAACTGCCATTGGCATCCTTCGCAGAATTAGGAAAAATGATTTTAAAATTCATATGGAACCATAAAGGAACTCATATAGGAAAGACAATCCTAAGCCAAAAGAACAAAGCTGGAGGCATCACACTACTAGACTTCAAACTATACTGCAGGGTTCCAGTAACCAAAACAGCATGGTACTGGTACAAAAACAGACACATAGACCAAAGGAACAGAATAGAGAACTGAGAAATAAGACTGCACACCTACGACCATCTGATCTTTGGCAAATCTAACAAAAACAAGCAATGGAGAAAATATTCACTATTTAATAAATGTTGCTGGGAGAACTGGCTAGCCATATGCAGAAAATTGAAACTGGACCCCTTCTTTACACCTTATATCAAAATTAACTCAAAGTGGATTAAAGACTTAAATATAAAACCCAAAACTATAAAAACCTTGGGAAAAAATCTAGGCAGTACCATTTAGAACATAGGAACAGGCAAAGATTACATGACAAAGTCACCACAAGCCACTGCAATAAAAGCAAAACTCGACAAATGGGGTCTAATTAAATAAAGACCTTCTGCACAGCAAAATAAACTAATATCAGAGTGAACAAACAACCTACGGAGTTGAATAAAATTTTTGCAATCCGTCCATCTGACAAAGGTCTAATATCCAGAATCTATAAAGAATTTAAACAAATTTACAAAAAAATAATGAACAACCCCACTAAAAAGTGGGCAAGTATCATGAAAAGACATTTCTCAAAAGAAGACATTCATGTGTCCAACAAACATATGAAAAAAAGCTCAACATCACTGATGCTTAGAGAAATGCAAATCAAAATCACAATGAGTTACCATCTCACACGAGTCAGAATGGCAATTATTAAAAAAGTCAAGAAACAGCAGATGCTAGCATGGTTGCAGAGAAATATGAACACTCTTACACTGTTGTTGGAATGTAAATTAGTTCAACCATTGTGGACAACAGTGTGATGATTCCTCAAAGATATAAAACCAGAAATACCACTTGAACCGGCAATCTCATTACTGGGTATATACCCAAAGGAATATAAATCATTCTATTACAAAGATAAATACATGTGTATGTTCATTGCAGCACTATTCACTATAACGAAGACATAGAATCAACCCAAATGCCCGTCAATGATAGACTGGATAAAGAAAACTTGGTACATATACACCATGGAATGCTATGCAGCCATAAAAAGGAATGAGATCACGTCATTTGCACAGACATGGATGGAGCTGGAAGCCATTATCCTCAGCAAGCTAATGCAGGAACAGAAAACCAAACATCGCATATTCTCACTTATAAGTGGAAGCTGAAAAATGAGAACACATGGACACAAGGAAGGGAACAACACTCACTGGGGCTTGTCAGGGGGTGGGGTAGGGCGAGAGAGAGCATTAGGAAAAATAGCTCATGCATGCTGCACTTAATACCTAGGTAATGGGTTGATAGGTGCACCAAACCACCATGGCACACATTTACTTATGTAGCAAACCTGCACATTCTGCGCATGTACCTCAGAACTTTAAAAATAAAAATAATTAAATAATTAAATAAAATAAATTTTCTATTGAAATATCTGCTGGTCATATGATGTTGTTTTTCCATAAAGTTACTGAGGCATAGTACCAAGGCTATCCTTAGAGACAGCCAAAAAAAATGGGTACTTACATGGTTTGATTGGAATTATCAAATATTTCACCACACATTCTTCACTCTTGACTATTCTGATTATTTTATCAGATTAACCTAAAAGTACATATTATTAATTTGGCAGAAATATGGTTATTGGCAAATGCATTTTAAAATATGGTTATTGGCAAATGCAGACAGAGTGGAGATGGAAAGTATGGAAAAGCCAAACAAGTAAGACACCATGTAGGCTACATCTGACGGAGAGTGAAATTCTGTGACTACGAAAACCTTTGTTGTTTTGATTTTAAAAAGAAAATCATTGTAAACGATATATTCATTGCAACAATTTCTAAAAATTCAGAAATATGTAAAAGAATGAAATTCCCTGAGGCCCTATTTCCCTTCCTAATTATATTCCTCAGGGGTACTTGTCATCTTTTATAGTTTAGAGTGTGTACTTTGGCTGGTAGACTTTTCAATGTCTCTGCAAACAAGGAATCCTATTAAGAAAATACTTCTGCACTTACACAACTGCCTATAGACCATTCTACCTAGAAAATTAACACTATGCATATTTTTTCTCCTTTTATCACAGGCTGGAAATGGAAAACAATAGAAGTAAGAAGCTAAAATCTAGTATTCATCATTTTCTTTTAGATAGGCAGAGTATACAGAGCAAGAAGCATCTTCACTGGAGAATTAAGTAGTCTCATTTGTGTCTAAAATATATGGGTGTTCAATTAAACAGAGACATAAACAGGACTTATGTGTAGCTCTGTCATCTTCTTCAATGTTGGTAATTACACTTATTTAGCAATATCCTGATGATTAAACATTTGCCTCTGAACTAATAAAACCACCAGGGCAAGTACTGTAGTAAAATAACTAAGAGGATGATTATAGCAATAGCTTTATAGGGCAGATGGGAAGAGATCACATTAAAATAGAGCAAAATCTCGTAAGTCAATAGGAAATACAGACAGGGAAAATAAAACAGTATTTCCCTAGTGACGCATAATTTTAATTTTGGTTGCCTGTAGAAACAGCTCTCAACATATTAAGCAATTGTATGCAATTTAATTGAATTTTGTACTGTATGTCTCCTTTAATCTTTATCAGATAATTAACTGATTGCTTCTATTGCAGCATTCATAGAAACGTCTGGATTTTAAATTAAAATGTTGCAGAAGTTCACACAAGCTTATAACAGGGTAACAGTATATTTAAAAAACCAATATTAGAGAAAGTAGAATTAATTGTGTTTATGTTGACTTATATGGCATAACATAATTTAGTTTTGTTAAACTTCATTGGAGTCAGAGTATCTTTTATTTTTGATACCAAATGGATTGTTCACATAGTTTCAATCTTACATATTGTATGAAACATTTAAGCACTTATGAAAAAACATTTTAAAATTTCCAATACAACCTATAAATAAGACAAACTTATCTATGGTATTAAATATTTATAGTCCCTAAATAACCACAAAATTGTGTGTGTGCATGTGTGTGTGTGTGTGTGTGTTTACAGTTTCTCATGTGGCTATTAAATTCCTTTCTTGTTCCTCTCAGAGGCACTTAATGTAAAATGACAAACATTTCCCATTATTTTAAATGTAATGAGTACTCTTGGTTATGTTTAAATAAAACTGTCATCTCTAAACAATTAAAAAATGAAAACTAGAAATAACCACTGTGTGGAAAAAAAACGAGGAAAATCCAATTATCACTAAAATACAATGAATTCCCTCTGTATAAGTAGGGAGTCAGGAAGCTCATTGAGTGTTTCACAAGTAATTTAAAACCATATGTTGCCTCTAACAGAAGAAAAGCATACAGCAACAAGAAGGCAACTTAAGCAAAGAGAATCTCAACACCCAAAAGCCAGAGTAAAATTTGAAACACCTGTATTTCTTCTTAAACACACTGGAGAGCCTGAATCTTATTTTTTTTTGTAATAGTATTAACGGTATGATGAAGAATTTATTCTTTTTCAAAGTATGTGTATTTTTTTTTATTTTTACTCTATCTAACAGTTATTGCATACTGTGACTGCTCTTACAAGTCCCTTAGAAGATACTAACAGCTGAACTGCAATTTAGCAGTGGCAATAGTTTTTTCCAAATGAAAAGATGATCAAAAAGCAGAATCATGTTTATTAATTCAACTGTGTACAAGCTATTACAAATATATTGTTTTCAAATGTGACTTAAACACGAGACTCAAAACTATCAAAATCCTAGAAGAAAACTTAAATAAAACTCTTCTTGACATTGGCCTAAGCAAACAATTTATGATTAAGTCTTCAAAAAGACATGCAACAAAAACAAAAATAGACAAATGGGACTTACACTAAAAAGTTTCTGCACTGCTAAGGACATAATCAACAGAGGGAAGAGACAACTAACCTGTTGAATGGTAGAAAATATTTTTTAAATATTCATCTAACAAGAGACTAGTATTAAAATTTTACAGGGAACTCAACACACAAAAAAATCCAATTTAAAAAGTAAGCAAAGTGCACGAATAGATATTTCTGAAAAGAAGACATACAAATGGCCAACAAGTATATGAAAAAATGGTCAACATCACTAATGATTGAGGAAATGCAAATTAAATTCACAGTGAGATATCATCTTATCCCAGTTAGAATGGCTATTATCAAAAAGACAAAAATAGCAGATGCTGGCAAGGATGTGGAGGATATACAAGAATATACTGTTCCTGGGTAAGTAAATTAGTATAGTCATTGTGGGAAACAGTATAACGATTTCTCAAAAAACTAAAAATAGAACTACTGTACATTCCAGTAATCCTACTACTAGGAAAGAAAATCAGTTTATAAAAGGGACACTTGCAATCATATGTTTATTGCAGCACTATTCACAATAGCAAAGATATAAAATTAACCTAAGTGTCCATCAACAAGTGAATGGTAAAGAAAGTGTGGTGTATATATACAGAATGGAATACTGTTTAGCCATTAAAAAAAAGAAATCCTGTCACTTGCAGGAACATGGATGGAACTGGAGGTCATTATGTTAAGGGAAATAAGCCAGGCACAGAAAGACAAATATTGCATGGTTCTCACTCATATGTGGGAGCTAAAAGAGCAGATCTCATGAAGGTAGAATGATAGTTACCAAAGACTTGGAAGGGTGGGAGATGTTGAAGAGAAGTTGCTTAATAGTCACAAATATACAGCTAGATAAAAGGAGTAAGTTCTTGTGCTTCTACAACATAGTAGGGGGACTATAGTTATTGACACTATACTGTATATTTCAAAATAGCTAGAAGAAAATATTCTAAATTTTCCCAACACAAAGAAATAATAAATGTTCAAAGTAATAGATATCCTAAATACCCTAATTTGATCACTACACCTTGTATGCACGTATCAAAATATCACATGCACCCTGTAAATATGTACAATTATTATGTATCAATTAAAATGTTTTTTAAAAGATCCTTCGCTCTGAAAAAAATTGATATGACAACATTGCACGTTTTTAATAAAGAATCCTAAAGTGCATTATACAACAGAACAAACGTGGGTTATTTACACTCGTGTTTTATCTGGTAGACATTTTTAACCATTGTAGGTATAAGAGACTGTTACTTTTCTCAAATTTATATATGCTGTTTTAGAAACCAGTCTTTTTAATATACAAAGATAAATCCTTTCAGTTGGCAGAAAAAGTGAAGGCTATTACAATCCTTCTTAAAGCAGCTTGCAAACTTTGGATTTGTAATCATTATACCGTCATAGCCCAGTCTTAGCTCTAAGAACAAGGATTATGGCTACTGAGCAGTGATGGACTTCCTAGACTAGTTCTTAAACATAAATAGCAACAAAATCAGTTGGTTCATCCTCAAACTCCAAAATTTACAAGGAAAAACCAGAATGCTGCCATTAAGTTCAAATCTACAAAATATTGCCAACTATATATAATTAAAGGGAAAATAAACTCAATACCTCAAAGAATTTATATATTTTAAAATGTATTAGTCACCCTGCCTGTGGATCCTGTAGCAGTTTTTGTAATATAAAGCTGGATAGTTGCATTTAATTTGTTTTAAAGGAAAGTTTCCATTAAAAGCATACCCAATCAATGTGTTAATCATTAATGAATTTCTAGTCTTTTAGTTTTGAAGGCTTTATCTTCAAAATCATTTTCTATCCATCAAAATAGCTAAGTTGAATTATTAAAACATCGCATCATTTAGCTAATAGTAATGTTCCTGTGTCAATTTCTTAGTTTTTACAAATGTACCATCGTGATATAAAAAATTAACAATCGAAGAAAATGGTTAAGGGGCATGTAGAAACTCTGTACCAGCCTTGTAACTTTTTTGTAAATATAAAATTATTCCAAAACATAAAGGTTATTAAAATATGCTCTTTTAAATGAAAACCTCTACTCCGCCAAACAATGAGAGCTCCTTTTGGAAAAAGATTCCTTAAGTTGTATTTATTTGAAATTCTATTGAAATCAACATTATTTGAAGATGGTTTAAGCTGTTACTGTTGGGAATGAAAAGACCAAATAGGGAGAAACTGCCAAATCCACAAAAAATCCTCAAAATATAAGAAACCCAGGTAGCCCATAGACATTTGTTCTCAGAGGTGCAGTCCAAAATCAAGTAAACCAACTAAAAAATGTTTAGCGTGAATCAAAGAATAAAAACTTACAACAGTATTGGCCTTGATAAAAGCAATGTTCCTTCCCCTCACTAATTCATGTGAAGAACTTAACTGTCAGACCTTTGCGAACTAAAGTAGTGATTATTAAAATTCAGATCTTGTTTTGAATGTTCCCTAATTTATTTACAAAAGTAAATATCCTTGGCATAATTCTAGCTCATTTTACCTTCATTTACATTTTTAGGAAAAAGTACGATATTTTCTTCCTATCAGGAATCTTGATTTTTCAATGACTGATTCTAGAAATATTTCAGAACAAAAGTCAATCTTAATATTTTTATGATCTATTAGCCATTAAATAATTTATTTGACAGGTTTACATATACTGAGTATCTACCATGTGCCAGACACTGTTATAGGTGCAGGAGATCTAGTAGTGAGTAAAAGAGAAGAAAAATAAAAACCTTTCCTCAAAGAAGCTTACATTCTAGTCATATTGTTCTCTCTTTTTTGTTTAAATTATTATTTTTAATTGACAAATCATAATTATATACATTCATTGTGTACAATATGATGTTTTGATATATGTATATAATGTGGAATTATTAAATTGAAGTCATTAACATGTTCATCATCCCATTTACCTATCTTTTTTATGATGAGACATCTTGTTCTTAAAAAGTAAGCAGAAATATACCAAGAAAATGACTTCACTATAATTGAATCATGTCTCTACCTTAAACTTCCTTTTCAGGGAAATCTAATAAGAAATGGTCTGCTATTTTTCAAAGCTAAAACACATCTTATTGTAACATTGCAGTAAGAGATACTTGGGAGTAGGCAGACAATGCCATGCAATGATAATACCTGACAAGATAATATCCTAGAAAAGGTTCCTTTCCATCAAATGAACTCTAATAAAGAATGGCTCTGAAAATGTCAGACTTTGAAACTGCCTTTTATGTACTCATTGATAATGCATAGAATCTGTTTGTTATTCATATATAACTTGAAATTTCCCCCATTAACACTTGAGGGCAGATTATCAGAGTAAGGAGAGTTTTGAATGTGGGATACATTTGTTTCCTCTTCCTCCATATCTCATCCAATTGTGTAGTTTGATGTCCTCCCTAACATTGCCTTTAATATTAGTTAATTCACATTTTTCTTCCTACTCATATAGTTTTCAGTTCAACTATAATATAAGTGTATATGGCAAACCACATTGGCCAGTTGATCACGGTGCATATTAATACTTTCAATTTGGCTTAAAATAACTAGAAGGGAAAAAGAATAAAATACCCAAATCCACTCAAAGCTCACATTCTCTATATCCTTCAAATAAATAGACTTCAGTCTCAGACATACTTTAACTTATGAGAATCATTTCAGGTACTATCACAGCTATTCTTGTCTGTCTTTAATGCTCCAGCATAATTGGTCTTAATCCCTTCTCCAAACCATCCTCTTCAAAAAAAAAAAAAAAATCCAAGTCTACATCTCTATATAAAGGAATGAGTTCAAGTTTTTCTTTTAGCTTATTAGCTTTGATATCTTGGGTAAGTCACTTAACTACCAATCCTTTAACAGTATTAGTCCCAATTAATACAAAGTCAGAAGTACCTGTTACTACAGAATTTAATGTTTCTAGTTGGCCAACTTTAAAAGAAATTCTATTAAATGAAGTGACACACAAAAAATGTTTTACTGTCATTCAGAAACAACAAACTACATTCATACAAAACTACAGAAAAGAGTATTAAAGTCCACAGACCACTCAGTTATAAATTCTTTTTGCAATAATTTTTTTCCTTTGATTTTGTACAATTAAACAATATAGTTTTTCTATTAATAAATGTCACAAAGTAATACTGACTTTTAAACACATAACTTTTAAAGACAGACGGTAATAGTAACTGAGTTGATACAGATTTTTGAGTGTATATTGATACTTATTTAAGGTAGCATCCACCTTTCAATTAAAACTGCAAAACAAAACAGAAAATGTCATGGTGTAATAGGAAAATAAGCAGATATCCTCTAGAGGTTTCTCTTTCCTTGCATCAGTTTGAATCATCAAATTGCAATGGCTGTTTGGTTAATATTTTTACCAGTGCATGGAATACTCACTTATCAGTCAATCCATTAAGCTACACTTGGGCATTCACCTTATAAAAAAAGAAAAACAGTAGGGTTTTAAAAAATTTCATTGTTATGAATTTGGGGAGCTATTTTAGGAATCTATGTCCGAAGTATTATATCGTTTGCAAAACTCATTTGGGCTGTGGCAAAGAGTATGGTAGTTCTTCAAAAAGTTAACCATAGAATTACATATGACCACACAATTTGAATTTTAGATATATACCCCAAAGAACTAAAAATGTAAGTCAACACAAAAACTTGTGCATGAACATTAATAGCAGCATTATTCATAATAGTTAAAAAGTGAAGAAAAGCCTAATATCCATCAACTGATAAATGGAAAATTAAAATGCGGAATATCAATGCAATGGAATATTGTTTAGAATTTTTAAATCAATGAAGTACATATTATAACATGTATGAACCTTGGCAGCATTATGCTATGCAAGAGAAGCCAGGCACAAACAGATCCTATATTGTATTATGACATTCAAATGAAATGTTCAGAGTAGGAATATCCTTAGAGACAGAAAGTACATTAGTGGTTTTCAGTGGCTGGGGGAAGGAGGGAATGGGGAGTAAATGTTAATGGGTACAATATTTTCTATGAAAATTCTCTGGAATTAAATAATGGTGCATTAGTCCATTTTCATATTGGTATAAAGAACTGACTGAGACTGGGTAATTTATTTTAAAAAGGAGATTTAATTGATTCACAATTCAACATGGCTGGGGAGACCTCAGGAAACTTACAATCATGGCAGAAGATGAGGGGAAAGCAAGGCACTTTCATCACAAGGCAGCAGGAAGGAGAAGAGCTGAGAAAATGGTGAAGAGCCCCTTATGAAACAAGACTCCCTTATAAAACTGACTATCAAGAGAACAGCATGGTGGAGACCACCCCTGTGATTCAATTATCTCCACTTGGCCTCTCCTTTGACACATGGAGATTATGTGGATTACAATTCAAGATGAGAGTTGGGTGGGAGGACAAACCCTAACCACGTTATTTCACCCCCAGCCTCTCCCAAATCTCATGGCCCTTTCACATTTCAAAACCAATCATGCCTTCCCAGCAGTCCCCCAAAGACTTTATTTATTGCAGCATTAACTCAAAAGTCCAATTCCAAAGTCTCATATGAGATAAAACAAGTTTCTTTCACCTACAAGCCTATAAAATCAAAAGCAAGTTAATTACTTCCTAGATACAACAGGGGTAAGGACATTGGACACTCTTTTCCAAGTGTCATAAATTGGCCAAAGTGCAGGCACTACAGGCCCCATGAAAGTCTGAAATCCAGTAGGGCAGTGAAATCTCAAAGCTCCAAAATGATCTCCTTTGGCTCCGTGTCTCACATTCAGGTCATGCTGATGCAAGAGGTGGGCTCCCAGTGCCTTGGGCAGCTCCATTCCTGTGGCTTTGCAGGGTACAGCCCCCCTCCTGGCTGCTTTCATGGTCTGGCATTGAATGTCTATGGCTTTTCCAGGCGTATGGTGCAAGCTGTCAGTGGATCTACCATTCTGGGGTCTGGAGGATGGTGGCCTTCTTCTCATAGCTTCACTAATCAGTGACCCAGTGATGACTCTGTGTGGGGGCTTCCACCCCATATTTCCCTTCTGCAGTGCCCTAGCAGAGTTTCTCAATTAGGGCTCTGCCCCTGCAGCACACCTGTGCCTGGACATCCAGACATTTCCATACATCCTCTGAAATTTAGGTGGAGGTTCCAAACCTCAATTATTGTCTTCCATGCACCCACAGAACCAACAACACGTGAAAACTGCCAAGGCTTAGGGCTTGCACCCTCTGAAGCAATGGCCTGAGCTGTACCTTGGCCCCTTTTAGCCATAGCTGGAGCAGCTGTGACACAGGGCTCAAGTCCTGATTTGAATCACAATTCAAGATGACATTTGGGTGGGGACACAAAGCCTAGTCATATCAGTTGTGATAAATTTACAACTTTGTGAATACAGTAAAAACTAGTGAATTGTACACTTTTAAAGGGTAAATGTTGTGGCATGTAAGTTATATCTAAATATTTTAAAATTAGGTCATAAAGAAGCACAAGTTAAACTCATTTTGTTTCAATACTTACTGTGTAGACTTCAGCAAATTATTAAACCTGAGCCTCAATTTCTGTCATTTGCCTAACAAGGGTAATAATATCAAACAAACAAGGTTATTGTGACTTGATAAAATATAAAATATGACATGCCTAACATGCAGTAAATACCTAACGAGTACAGTTATTTTTGTTATTATTATCATTATTACTATCATTTTAAAATCATGGGCTAGAAAGAAACTCAGAAATCCTCAAATTCTTCTATTAACTAATGAAATACCTCACCTTTCTGCCCTATGTTCTTTGTTTTTTGATCTTATGTTGCATATCGATGAGTTACTGCCAATCAGTAAAATATACAGATACACATATACACACATGCATATACTATACTCATACATATATAAAATAATATCTAAAAAATGCTTTGTATCTAATACTTGTTATATTTTCTCAACAAACTGGCTTTCACAGCTATTAAATATCTCTCAGTGACACACTATGCATATCTCAAAAGGCTATAGCTCCTTAAAATATAAGCAAACAAATAAATCCACATATGCATATTCTGAGATTTCTGTGGGTGACAAAAAATACCTAGTCTACTTCAAGCCATTGCTATTCTATCCTTACTCGTTGAAATAAGAAACAGTAGGTATATTTTTACTTGAATACGTTTATGCATAGTCAGGGACAAACCAGGCTCTGGTGATCATGGTTCAACTTTCTGATTCTATGAATTTGATGATTTTAGATACTTCACTAAGTATCTAAATCCTTCAATGTGCAGCAACAGTGAATGAATATTAAATATTTTATAGTTGTAAAAAGATATTTCATATATATGATCCTAATTAGTGGTAAACAAAAACTAGTGTGAGAATGGTAAATAATGCTGCCTATATATTCATTTAAAGTATTCTATTTTCAAACACCTTACTTTTATTGCAGTTACCTAGTGATACATATTCAATATGTTTCTCTCCATTTCACAAATGGAAAAACTGAGATATGCAAAACTAAATGACTTAAATAGGGAGACTCTATTCAGTAAAAGAAGAGTAGTCCAGGTATGAAAAGTCTCTTCTATTGAACTCTCTTGCTAAAGGTGTAATTAATGAAAAGCAACATCAAAAAGGGACAGAGCAAGATGGCAAAATGGAAGGCCCCACTGATCGTCCCCAAGGACACCAATTTTACAATTGTCTACACCAAGAAAACACCTTCATAAGGACCAAAAATCAAGTAAGCACTCATAGTACCTAGTTTTAATTTTCTGTCACTGAAAGAGGCACTGAAAAGGTAATCTTGAATCACCAGTGCCACTGCTATCCCATCCCCCAGCAGTGGCAGCCTGGTGTGGAGAACATTTCTGTGTACTGAGGAGAGGAATAGTGCAGCAATTGTGAGGCATTGAACTTAGTGCAGACCTATTATAGCAGAAAACTAGAAAAAAACTCAGCTGACATCCACACGTGAAGGAAATATTTAAAGCAGCCCTAGCCAAAGGGTGATTGCTGATCCCAGCAGTCAGAACTTGAGTTCCTGGAAGCCTTGACACAGTGGGACAAAGTACTCTGGGGCCTTAAATAAGCTTGAAAGTGAGTCTAAGCCAAAAAGACTGCAACTCCTAGGTGAGTCTTAGTGCTGAACTTGACCATGAGCCAGTGGACTGGGAAGTATATGACCTATTGAGAATCCAGCTAGGGGAGCTAAAGAAGCTAGTATCACTCATCCCCTAGCCTCAGACTACATAGATCATGGCTCCAAAAGAGACTCCTTCCCTCTGCTTGAAGAGAGAAGATGAAAGAGTGGTGAAGACTTTGTCTTGGACTTTGGATACCAGCTCAGCCACAGCAGGATAGGGCACTGGTCAGAGGTTTGAGGCCCCCATTCCAAGGATCCTGGGAGACATTTCTAGACATAAACTGGGCCAAAAGGGAACCTGCTGCCTTTAAGGGAAGGACCCAGTCCTGGAAGGATATACCACCTGCTCCCTGAAGAGCCCTTGGGCCCTGAGTATCCAGCAGTAATACCCAGGTACCACATTGATTGCATTGGGTGAGCAGCTGAGACTGTCTGGCTTCAGGTAAGACTCAGCATGTGCCAAAATGAGGTGTGACTCCTTTCACTTGAGAAAAGCAGTGGGTAAAGTAAATGAGACTTTGTTTTGCACATTAGGTATTATCTCAGCCACAGTGGAATAGAGAACCAAGTGGGATCTTGAGGTCTGCAATTCCAGGATGTGGCACTTGAATGGCATTTGGGGATGTTCCCTGGGCCAGAGGGGAGCCCGCTGCACTGAAAGGAGAGTTACAGGCCAGGCAGCATTCACCGCAAGCTGACCAAAGAGCTCTTCAGCCTTAAGCAGGCATAGGTGGTAAAGAGCTCTTCAGCCTTAAGCAGGCACTCTCTCCTGCTCCATCATGGGAAAATGTGCATTGCTTCCCCTTAATCTTCCACCATGATTGTAAGTTTCTTGAGGCTTCCCAGTTTGACAGTCCTCCTTTTGGGCTTGTGGTAGCAGAGGTGATGGGGTGAGGATCCTATGCTTTTGAAAATGGAAGAAAGAGTTGGAGGGACTGCATCTTGTGATTTGAGTTCTAGTCCAGCTGCAATACAATTGAACACTAGATGGACTTATAATACTTCAGTACATGGCTCCCAAATGGCAACTCTGGGCCTGCCTGAGGCATGGGGTAAACATGCTGCCCTGAAGGGAAGGACACAGGCTTGGCTGGTTTTGTGATCTGCTGATTATACAGGCCCAGGGGTTCAGTGAACCTAGGCAGTAGCCAGAGAGTGGTTATAGCAGGCCTTGGGTAAGACCCAGTGCTGTCCTGGCTTCAGGTCTGACCCAGTGCGGTACCAGTGGTGGTGGCCACAAAGGTGTTTGTGTCACTCCATCCCCAGCTCCATATGGCTCAGAAAAGAGAAAGAGACTTAGTTTGCCTGAGAAATGTAATGGAAGAGAAGAGTCTCTGCCTAGTAATCCAGAGAATTATCCTGTGTCTTGCCTAAGACCATCAAGGAGATGCCTCTATGAGTCTGGAAGAACCACCATATTACTGGGTTTCAGGAGCCCCCTAAAGTAGATACAGTTTAGATCACAAACCTCAAGTCATTTCAAATATCTGGAAAGTCTTCCCAAGAAGAATGAGTACAAACAAGCCCAAACTGAGAAGACTACAATAAATACTGAATTCTTCAATTCCCAGACACTGATGAACATCTACAAGTATCAAAACCATCCAGAAAAACATGACCTCACCAAATGAATTAAATAAGGCACCAGTGACCAATCCTGGAGAAACAGAGATATGTGACTTTTCAGACAAAGAATTCAAAATAGCTGCTTTGAGGAAATGCAAAGAAATTCAAGATAACACAGAGAAGAAATTCAGAATTCTATTAGATACATTTAACAAAGAGATGATGGAAATAATTAAAAAGCATCAAGCAGAAATTCTGGAGTGGAAAAAAGTGATGGTCATACTGAAGAATGCATCAGAATCTTTTAAAAACAGAAAAGATCCAGCAGAAGAAAGGATTAACGAGCTTGAAGACAGGTCATTTGAAAACAGTCAGAGGCAAAAACAGAAAAAATAAAATAAAAACAATGAAACATGCATACAAGATCTAGCAAATAGCCTCAAAAGGGCAAATCTAAGAGTTATTGGCCTTAAAGAGGAGATAGAGAAAGAGAGAGAGGTAGAAAGTTTATTAAACTAGATAAAAACAGAGAACTTGTCAAACCTAGAGAAAGATATCAGTAGCCAAATACAAGAAGAATATAGAACACCAAGCAGATTTAATCCAAAGAAGACTACCTCAAGGGATTTAATAATCAACTTTCAAAGTTCAAAGATAAAGAAAGGATCTGATGTGTTTTGGATTTGCGTCACTGCCCAAATCTCAACTGAGTTGGAGGAGGGGCCAGGTGGGAAGTTTTTGGATCATCAGGGCAGATTTTTCCCTTGCTGTTCTTATGATAGTGAGTGAGCTCTCACGACATCTGATGGTTTAAAAGTGTGCAGCACCTTCCCCTTTACTCTCTCACTCTCTCCTGCTCCATCATGGGAAAATGTGCATTGCTTCCCCTTAATCTTCCACCATGATTGTAAGTTTCTTGAGGCTTCCCAGTTATGCTTCCCGTTAAGCCTGTGGAACTGTGAGTCAATTGAACATTTTTGTTTAATAAATTACCCAGTTTCAAGTAGTTCTTTACAGCAGTGTGAAAACGGACTAATACAAGATCCATAACAAACAACAACAAAAAAAAAAACAAGAGAAAGTAAAGAAATAATAACATCTTTAATACAATAAAGCTGCAATATGTCTGACAGAAGACTTTTTAGTGGAAACATTACAGGCCAGGAGAGAGTGGCAAGACATATTTAACATGCTGAAAAAAAAATTTACACTAGCATACCATACGTAGCTAAAGTATCCTTCAAACATGAAAGAGAAATAAAGTCTTTCCCAGGCAAACAAAAGCTTCTGAGGGACTTTATAAACACCAGACCTGTCATACAAGAAATGCTAGAGTGTACTTCATTCAGAAAGAGAAAGTTGATGACAAGCAATAAGATACATCTAAAAGTACAAAACTTACTGGTAACAAACAGGAAGTACACAGAAAAACACAGACTAATTTAACACTGTAACTGTGGTGTGTAAACTACTTCTATCCTAAATAGAAAGACTAAATGATGAACCAATAAAAAATAAAAACTTCAACCTTTTTATGACCTTGACAATACAATATTATTGTAAATAGAAACAATAAAAAGTAAAAAAGCAGAATGACAAAGGTAGTGTAGGGTCTTTATTAGTTTTCTTTTTGTTTGTTTGCCTTTGCAAACAGGGTGAAGTTGTTAACAGCTTAAAATAATGGGTTATAAGATAGTATTTGCAAGCCTTATGGTAACTGCAAACCAGAAAACATACAACATATACACACAAAATAAAAAACAAGGAACTAAATCATATCACCAGGGAAAATTACCTTCAATGAAAAGAAGACAAGAAGGAAGGAAAGAACAAAAGGAAGATCACAAAACAACAAGAAAACAAATAAACAATGCAGTAAGAGTTAGTCCTTACTCACCAATAATAACATTGAATATAAATGGAATAAACTCTCCAATCAAAAGACACAGAGTGGCTGACTGAGGACAAAAAAGACCCATTGATCTGTTGTATACAAGAAACACATTTTTTAAACATATATGCACCTAACACTGCAGCACCCAGAAAAATAAAGCAAATATTATTCGCATTCATTACATAGATGGGCCCGAATGCAGTGATAGCTGGAGGCTTCAACACCCCACTTTCAGCATTGAAAAGATCTTCTAGACAGAAAGTAAACAAATAAACATCAGACTTAATCTGCACTATAGACAAAATGGATCTAATAGATATTTACAGAATATTTCATCCAAGAGCTGCAGAATACACATTCTTTTCCTCAGCACATGGATCATTCTGAAGGACAGACCATATATTAAGTCACAAAACAAGTAAAACATTCGAATGATGGAAATAATGTCAAAAATCTTCTCTGACCACAATGCAGTAAAACAAGTAATTAATAACAAGAGGAATTTTGGAAGCCATAGAAACAGATGGAAAGTAAACAACATCCTCCTGAATCACCAGTGGGTCAATTAAGAAATTAAGAAGGAAATTGAAAATTTTTCTGAAGTAAATGATAATGGACACACAATATACAAAAGCCTATGGGATACAGAAAAAGCAGTACTAAGGTGGAAGTTTATAGCTATAAGTGCCTACATTTAAAAAGAAGGAAAATCAAACAAACAACCTAACAATGCATCTTAAAGAACTAGAAAAGCAAGAATAAACTGAACTCAAAATTAGTAGGAGAAAGAAAATAATAAAGATTAGAGCGGAAATAAATGCAACAGAAATAAAGAAAATAATATAAAAGACAAATAAAACAGAAAGTTGTTTTCTTTTGAAAAGTTAAGCAAAATTAACAAATGTTTAGCCAGATTAAGAAAAAAAGAGAGAAGTCACAAGTAAATAAAATCAGAGTTGAAAAAGAGACATTACAATGGATATTGATGAAATTCAAAAGTTCATTAGCGGCTCCTAGGAGCAACTATATACCAATAAATTGAAAAATCCATAGGAAATGGACAAATTTCTAGACACATACAACCTAACAAAATTTAACCTTAAGGAAACTCAAAATCTGAGCAGACCAATAACAAGTAACAAGAATAAAGCTGTAATAAAACATTTTCCAATAAATAAAAGTCCAGAATCTGATAGATTCACTGCTGAATTCTAAACATTTAAAGAACTAATACCAATCCTACTCAAACTATTCCAAGATATAGAGAAGAAGGAAGCACATTCAAACTCATCCTATGAGGTCAGTATTACGTTGATACCAAAACCAGACAAAGAAAACCAAAGCCAATATATCTGATGAAGATTAATGAAAAAATCCTTAACAAAATACTAGCAAACTGGTTTAAACAACACATTGAAACTATCAGTCATCATGACCAAGTGGGATTTATTTCAGGAATGCAAGGATGGGTCAACCTATGAAAATCGATCCATGTGATATATCAACAGAATGAAAAACAAAAAGGTTATTAATTATTTCAATTGATGCTAAAAGAAACATTTTGTAAAATTCAACATCCCTTCATGATAAACACCCTAAACAACTGGGTATAAAAGGAACATACCTCAGTATAATAAAACCCATATATGACAGACCCACAGCTAGTATTATACTAAAAATGGAGAAACTGAAAGTCTTTCCTCTAAGATCTGGAACACTGCAAGGATGCCCTTTGTCACCACTGTTATTCAGCATAGTACTGGAATTCTTATCTAGAGCAATCAGATGAGAGAAACATATAAAGGGCCTCCAAATTGGAAAGGAAGAAGTCAGGTAATCCAAGTTTGCAGATGATATGATCTTGTATTTGGAAAAACCTTAAGACTCCATGAAAAATACTATTAGAACTCATAAGCAAATTCTATAAAGTTGCAGAACACAAAATCAACATACAAAAATCAGTAACATTTTTATATGGTAACATTGTAAAATCAAAAAAGGGTTTTAAGTATAATCGCATTTACAATAGCCAGAAATAAAATTAAATAGCTAGGAATTTATTTAACCAAAGTGAAAGATCTTCATAATGAAAACTATAAAACATTGACAAAAGAAATTGTAGAGGACACCAAAAACTGGAAAGATATTCCATGTTCATGTATTGGAAGAATCAAAAATGTTAAAATGTCCATATGACCCTAAGCAATCTGCAGATTCAATGCAATCCCTATCAAAATACCAGCGACATTCTTCACAAATCAGCAAGAAAAAAAATAATCCCATCAAAAACTGGGCAAAGAACATGAATAGACAATTCTCAAAAGAAGGTACACAAATGGCCAACAAACATATGAAAAAATACTCAAGATCTCTAATTATCAAGGAAATGCAAATGAAAACCACAATGAGATATCTCCTTACTCTTCTAGGTATGGCCATAATTAAAAAATCAAAATATAATAGACATTGCGGTGGATGTGGTGAAAAGGAAACACTTTTATGCTGCTGGTGGGAATGTAAACTAGTATAACCACTATTGAAAACAGTATGGAGATTCCTTAAAGAACTAAAAGTACAACTACCATTCAATCCAGCAATCCCACTACTGGGTATTTTCCCAAAGCAAAGGAAGTCATTATATATTTAAAAAAAAAAACACTTGCACACGTATGTTTATAGCAGCACAATTCACAATTGCAAAAATATGGAACCAACCTAAATGCCCATCAATTAATGCATGGATTTTAAAAAGTGGTATATATACACCGTGGAATACTACTCAGCCATAAAAAGGAATGAAATAATGGCATTTCCAGCAACATGGATGAAGTTGGAAACCATTATTCTAAGTGAAGTAACTCAAAAATGGAAAACCAAATATCATATGTTCTCATTTATAAGTTGGAGCTAAGATATGAGGATACAAAGGTACAGAGTGATATAATGGACTTTGAGGACTCAGGGGAAGGGTGGCAGAAGGGTGAGGGATAAAAGACTACACATTGGGAAGAGTGTGCACTGCTGAGGTAACAAGTGCACCAAAATCTCAGAAATCACCACTAAAGAACTTAGTCATGTAACTAAAAACCACCTGTGCCCCCAAAACTATTGAAATAAAATAAAGAGGAAAAAAAAGACTTCAAGTCTTCAAGATAACTTACTTTCACAGAGATTTCAATAATTTTGTTTGAGGAAATGAATTTTGCTTTAGTTGTTTCTCTCACAAGATTTCACCCATAATAATGTCACTGTTTTACCCCTATAACTGGATTATTCTTCACTATGAGACTATATTACCTAAACTATATTACTAAATGAGAAAATATGTTGCTTTGAGAGTTGAGATAAATACATTTTCATCTATTTTTTACCTTATAGAGGAAACAAAGTGGTGGAAGTGTTTACATTTTCACACTGTACAGTCATGTATTGCTTAATGACATAGATGCATAGTTAGGCAATTTCACTGTTGTGCAAACATCATTTAGAATGTAATTCAAAAACCTAGATGCTATAGCCTACTACATAACTAGACTATATGGTACAGCCTAATCCTTCTAGACTACAAACCTGTACAGCATGTTACTGTACTGAATAGCATAGGCAATTGGAAAACAATGGTCAGTATTTGAATATCTAAACATATTTAAACATAGAAAAGTCACAGTAAAATATAATATAAAAGATTCAAAAAACAATACCTGCATAGGGCACTTATAATGAGTAAATCTTGCAGCACAGAAGATTGCTCTAGGTGAGTCTGTGAGTGAGCGGTGCATGGATGTGAAGGGCCAGCATATTATTATACCCTACTTTAGAATGTATAGACACTGTACTCAGACTACACAATATTTATTTTAAAATATTTATCTCTGATTAATACTGTATGTTGTAACTCATATGTGGGAGCTAAACAAATAAAATTGAGCTCACAGAAGTTTAGAGTAGAATTGCAGTTATTAGAGGCTGGGAAAGGTGTGGGGGAAGAATAAGGGGAGGTTGGTTAATGGGTACAAAGTTACAGCAAGGTGAGTGGAATAAGCATTATACAGCACTATAAGGTGAATAAGGTTAACAATAATTCAGTGTATGTTCTTAAAAGCTAGAAGAGAATTTTGAATGTTCACAGTGAAAACAAATAATTAATGTTCAAGGTCATGGATATATTAATTATCCTGATTTGATCATTACACATTGTATACATGTATTGAAATATCACTCTGTATCCCTTTAATATGTGCAATTATTATGTGGCAACTAAAAATAAAAGGAATAAGGTGTTTCTTTTTTAAATAATGGATTAATATTAGCTTATGTAACTTTTTAACTTCATAAACATTTTGTAACTTTTTGACTCTTGTAATAACAGCTTAAGTCACATATTGCACAGCTGTAGAAAAATATTTTACACATATCCCTATTTTATAGACTTTTCTCTATTTTTTAATTTTTTAATATTTTATTTTTTAAACTTTTTATGTAAAAACTAAGACACAAACACACACATTAGTCTAGACCTGCACAGGGTCAGAATCATTAATATCATTGCCTTCCACCTCCATATCTTGTCCCACTGAAAGGACTTTAGGAGCAATAACACACACATGGAGCTGTCATTTCCAATGTAACAATGTTTTCTTCTTGAATGACTCCTGAAGGACCTGTCTGAGTTTTGTTTTACAGTTAACTTTTTATGTATATAAATAGAAGATGTATACTCTAAATTAATTATAAAAAGTTTAGTAAATACATAAACCAGTAACATAGTTGTTTATAATTATCATCAAGCATTATGTTCTGTATATATAATTGTCTATGCTATACTTTTATATTACCATATACATGTGAGTAACACACTGCACTTCAATATTACAATGCCTACAATGTCACTAGGCAATACAAATATTTCAGCTCCATTATAATCTTATAGGATTACCTTCCTCTATGCTATCTATCCTTGACTGAAATGTTCTTATGCCTTGCATCACTGTAGTTAGTTCTATCTGTAAAAAGAAATCTGAATATACAACACATTTTGAAATGTATAATAAACACATTGTTGAAAAGATTTCCATCTTCACTAGTTACACAATAAGTACAACACAACTCTCCTTCTGAGATTCCTAGACATTGAGGTTTATCTTAAACCTCAAACTCCTACTCACAGAATATGTATATTCACACAATTTTGGGGTGTATATTAATGAACATATATAAGAATATATTAAAAAATGACTACAGAAGAAGAAAATCACTTTATTGAGCTCTAAAATGTACTCACATTCATAAGCTACAAATTTTTACTTCCATTGGCATAAAGCACTATCACTCCATTGCTTCAAAGGCAGCTCTGGCTGACAGAGTTCTCAAGAAATATTTATCAAAAAAATTTATGAAAGAAAGGGATGTTTTGTCTTGTGTTTCCTGTGATGCTTAAGAACTAAACATATCACATGGTAACTGTATTTCTTTGAAGTTTTACTATTTTTTTCTTAAGTTCATAAACTACAAGAACCAATATCAAAAATCATCAGTAACAGTACTCTTTAGAGATTTATTATAAATGAAAAATATAAGAATTAAAAAACTAAATTTTATTTTAGTAGATATTTTACAATGGAAATAATTACATGCACACAAAATGAGCAAATATCCTGAAATTTTGTTTTGTTCTTTATTTTTGTCAATAAAGGTCTTTTTTGCAAGTTAAGCATTCTCACTATTGAGAACAATGTTGAACACAATTCATCATTTTGATAAGTGCAGGTAAATTTAACTACCTTTTTATTAGAAAATTAATTGTTAATACTGGTATTTTAAAACATAGATGGATAGAATAACATGCATCCATAAAAAAAAGAACAAGATCATGTCCTTTGCAGGAACATGTATGAAGCTGGAGGCCATTACCCTTAACAAAGTAATGCAGGAACAAGAAACCAAATACCAGATGTTCTCACTTATAACTGAGAGCTAAATGATGAGAACACATGGACACATGGGAGTAACAACAGACACTGGTGTTTATCAGAGGGTGGAGTGTGGAAGGAGGGAGAGGATCAGGAAATATAACTAATGGGCCCTAGGTTTGATACATGCATATTAATACATGGGTGAAAAAAATAATTTGTGCAAGAAATCCCCATAATACAAGTTTTTCTGTATGACAGACATGCACATGTATCCCTGAAATTAAAATAAAAGTTAAAATAATTTTAAAAAAACATATTTCTAGCTTTTCTTGAATTAAGTATTATCAAAAATAATCAGTATCTAGCTTGGGTTGGAAACATCATCACATGAGTTCCTTCAAGGTCTCCTTTTCAACTTTTAGATTTATGTATATTTATACCGACCACCATTTTATTTCTTATGTCAGGGAAAACATTTTGTCTCTTTCCTTCTAAAATACTGGATTCATTCTTCTTCCCTTCTCTCATCTCAGACTTTTGCTTCATTTATTTTCAACCTCTCACTCAAAAACAGATCTTTTCCCTTTATTATGAAAACAAATTCACAATGATCTCATACACAGAAAAACAATAAACTTCCCTAAATCCCTATACTCCCTGTATTAATCCATTCTCATGCTGCTGTGAAGAAATCTCTGAGACTGGGTAACTTATAAAGGAAAGAGATTTAATTGACTCACAGTTCCACAGGACTGGGGAAGCCTCAGGAAACTTATAATCAAGGCAGAAGGGGAAGCAAACATGCTCTTCCTCACAAGGTGGCAGGAGAGAAATGTGCTGAGCAAAAGGGGTAAAAGCCCCTTATAAAACCATCAGATCTCATGAGAACTCACTCACTATCATGAGAACAGCATGAGGGTAAACACCTCTATGATTAAATTACCTCTCAATGGGTCCCATCCATGACATGTGAAGATTATGGGGATTACAATTTAAGATGAGATTTGGGTGGGAGCACAAAGCCTAACCATATTATTCCATCCCTGGCCCCTCCCAAATCTCATGTTCCTTTCACATTTTCAAAACCAATCATGCCTTCCCAACAGTCCCCCAAAGTCTTAATTCCAGCATTAACTCAAAAATCCAAGTCCAATGTCTCATATGAGACATGGTAAGTCTCTTCTGCCTATGAGCTTGTAATATCAAAAGAAAATTAGTTACTTCCTAGACACAATCAGGGTACATGTGTTGGGTAAATATACCCATTTCAAATGGGAGAAATTGGCCAAAATGAAGGGGTTACAGGTTATAGTAAATTCCAAAATACAATAGGGAAGTCATTAAACCTTAAGCTCCAAAATGACTACCTTTGACTTCATGTCTCACATCTAGGACACACTGATGCAAAGGATGGGCTCCCATGGCCTTGGGCAGCTCTACCCCTGTGGCTTTGTGGAGCATAGCCCCCCTCCTGGCTGCTTTTGTAGCTGGCACTAAGTGTCTGTGGCTTTTCCAGGAGCACAATGAAAGCTGTAGGTGGGTCTACCATTCTGGTGTCTGAAGCACATTGGCCCTCTTCTCACAGTTCCACTAGGCAGTGCCCCAGTGTGTGGGGGCTCTGACCCCACATTTCCTTTCCATGCTGCTCAGCAGAGGTTCTTCATGAAGGTTCACCCCTGCAGCAGACTTCTGCCTGGACATCCAGGTGTTTCCAAACATCCTCTGAAACCTAGGCTGAGGTTCTAAAACTTCAATTCTTGTCTTTTGCACACATAGGACCAACATCACATGGAAGCTGCCAAGGTTTAGGGCTTGCACCCTCTGAAGCAATGGCCCAAGCTATATTTTGGCCCCTTTTAGCCATTACTTGAGTCACTGGGATGCAAGGCACTAAGTCCCTAGGCTGCACACAGCAGGAGGCCCTGGGCATGGCCCAGGAATTAATTTTTTTTCTCCTAGGACTCCAGGCCTGTGATGGGAGGGGCTGTTATGAAGGTCTCTGACACGTCTTGGAGACATTTTTCCCATTGTCTTGGTGATTAACATTTGGCTCTCCATTACTTATGTAAGTTTCTGCTGCCAGCTTGAATTTCTCCCCAGAAAAAGAATTTTTGTTTTTTATTGTATCATCAGGCTGCAAATTTTCTAATCTTTTATGCTTTCTTCCTCTTGAAAGCTTTGCCATTTACAAATGTATTCCGCCAGAAACCGTAAATCATCCCTCTCAAGTTCAAAGTTCCACAAATCTCTAGGGCAGGGAAAAATGCTGCCAATGTCTTTGCTAAAGCATAGCAAGAGTCACCTTCATTCCAGTTCCCAAAAAGTTCCTCATCTCCATCTGAGACCACATCAGCCTGGACTTCATAGTCCATACCACTATCAGCATTTTGGTCAAAGCCATTCAACAAGTCTCTAAGAAATTCCAAATTTCCCACATCTTTCTGCCTTCTGAGCCCTCCAAACTGTTCCAACCTTGGCCTGTTACTCAGTTCCAAAGTCGCTTCCAAATTTTCAGGTTTCCTTATAGTAGTACCTGACTCTGTGCAGTACCAGTTAACTGTATTAGTCCATTCTCATGCTGCTATGAAGAAATGCTCAAGACTGAGTAATTTATAAAGTAAAGAGGTTTAATTGACTCATGGTTCTGCATGGTTGAGGAGGTCTCAGGAAACTTACAGTCATGGTGGAAAGGTAAACAAGCACATCCTTCTTCACAAGGTGGCAGGAGAGAGAAGAGCCAAGAGAAAGGGGGAAAAGCCCCTTATAAAACCATCAGATCTCATGAGAACTCACTCACTATCATGAGAACAGGATGAGAGTAACTACCCCCACGATTAAATTACCCCCCACCGGGTCCTTCCCATGACACATGGGGATTATGGGAACTACAATTCAAGATGAGATTTGGGTGGGGACACAGCCAAACGGTATCACCCCCTCAAGCTGCAATGCTGTCTTTCAATTCTCTTCACTACAAAATTCTTAAAAGAATAATATATTTACGCTTCTAAAACCCTATTGTCCAAATTATTCTGTAAACCTTTCCCATGACACTTTAAAATGTACTATGTCACTCAGGGGAGTCACTGACTAAAATACCCAACAGTCTTTTCATCTTAGTGCTCTTTGTCATTTGACTTATTTTCATTTGTCTCTTCCCTGGCTGTTGTAATTCTGCATATGTACTTAGCTCTCCTCTTTCTCCTTTATTAACCACTCCTCACTTTCATGCAACTTTATATTCTGCTTTTCTGGTTCATATTCCTGTTTGTATAAATGCATGTTTTTGCCTGGGATTTTTTTTCTTAACTCTCATCTTGACACATACCAGAGATAATAAGCTGACAATCTCTATACAAAACTTGATTTACAGATATGGCTTGTATGGTCAGCATTCAAACTGAGCATGCATTTTCTAGTTTACTGCAGGCCTCATCAACTCTTAATGGATTATAACTGATCTCTTTTGAACGTTAATTTTTACCAGAAGTCTTCAATATTTTGTTGTTTATATTTTTGTCTTGTGTACTCTCTTGAGTTCTAAGTTCATATTTTCTATGATGTGTTACTCATTTTCATGTACGTACCCTCTCTGTAGCTAAAAGTCTGTTTCTAAACATCAGATTAGCTTCTCCCCTCTGAAACTCAATCTTCTGCATTTTTTATTCATGTGAATGGTGCCAATATCTTTCCACTATCTATCTTTCCATCGACTTAGGCTTGAAATATCAGTGTCATCTTTCACTTCTTACAGGCCACACAAAACCAATTTGTTTTTAAGTCCTGTTTCTTTCAAGGTCCATAATATATGTTTGCATTGATCTCTCCTTTCAGTTCCAGAGCAAGCACCCTAAGTTAGGTTCTCACTGCCTCTTCTTGGGACCACTGCACTTGCTTCCCTGTAAACTAAACTGTGTTACAAGAAAAGCATTTAAAGTAACATAAAAAGTTTAACCTAAAATAAAGAAAATTGGATGGTCCTGAGAGCAAATTTCCAATAACTTAAAGGCTGTCATGGAGAAAAGGGATTAGAGTATCCTGTGTGGTCTTCAGGAAAGCCAGGAACCCAGTGGGTAGAAGATGTACATAGGCAATTTTTGAGTCAATATAAATAAGCTTTTTCTAATATTTATCTCAGAAAGTAAATGCTATGTTACTTTAGACATTTGAACCCAGACTGAAACACAAGTTATGTATGTTACAGAAAAGATTACATAACTATGAAGGTTCTTTCTTACCAGAGAAGTCTATGATTTTAAGATCTACACATCTGTAAGACTGTCAGATTGCTAAGTCTATAAGGATTTTAGAATTATTTGTGTGTGTGTGTGCGTGTGTAGTAAAAGGCCTTTTGTTCAAGTAAGTAATAAACATACCTCACTACTGAGAACCATGTTGAATGCAATTCAACATGCAAGTGAATACAGAGGCCAAGAAATTTTCAATTTCTTTCAAGATTCAGATGTGTTGATACCTCCTTCCAAAGAAGGAGCATAGTTAAGTGATTTTTCCGATCTGAAAGTAGAAATTGCCCAAATAACATAATGAGAAAATATTATTTCTATATTTATGTTCTTATTTACATTTTCAAAGTGTTTTCATTGTTGTTACTTCATTTAATAATCAGAAAAAAGAACCTGAAAACTGGGTTGATGTTATTCTTATCTTACTGATTAGAAAACTAAAATTCAGCAGTGTTATTTCTTATTAAAAGGCCATTATCAACATACATGATTAAAACCATTTTTTTTGCCTCCTAAATCACTGTACTTTCCACTAAAACATGTTGCTTTCCAGTACTGGACAGTTTCTGGTATTAAAATTAACATGAACTCAATGATACAGGTTGAGTGATGATAGTGGAGTAAGTTTGAATAATTTAGAAACGAACATACCTAATGAGATGTATTTGATTTATTGATGTTTAATACCATCAAAGTTTCATTACGACTAAGGTAAAATTTGTCACACTTAAACTTTTATAGCAATTTTCTCACTGAGAAATGGCAAATTTTTATCAAATACAGATGTGTATTAGAAACGTTTATTTAATCAGTTCAAGAGGAAGTAGTTCTTATGACATAGAAATAAAATAACTTATTTCCTCCATCAAATTCCTCTCTTGAGAGTCCATTGAGGGGAAAAAGTCAAATTTGACAAAAGCTATCATTGTCAGTATAGCATTGATTAGTTACAGCAGGACTTAAAGTGATGATTCCATTATCAGGATTTTTTTTAATGCTGTGACAATAGACAGTTAAAAGTGCTTATTTTACCTTAACACTTATTTATTGGTATGTATTGCCCTTTAAAATTCTTATATCTTAAAATTATTAAATCTTTATCCTGGTATAAATAGGATAAAATTTGTATCCTCAGCATGTTACACATTTCAAAATTAATTGTCAAGACAGAGCCATCTGCTATAATAATTAGACACAGCAGTCCAGCAGTTGTCCAGCTGTTGCCATCATATAGTGCACTCAGTAGTCCAATATGCTGACACTAAAATGACAAAAACAATTGAGACAGCTGCAGGTGTAATCCAATACAGAGTAGGAAAGGCAGTCATACCAGCTATTGACTCCTTTACTATCAATATAAAAAGTGTCTTTTAGCCTATGTGGCAAATTACCCTATGCTGCAAGTTTATTACCAAATGCTTATTCTTTTCTTCATTAAACTCTTTTACACACTTATAATCACACCCAGTTGACTTTCTATACTCTTTTATACTGGTTAACATGACCCTATATGCAAACACAACTGAAATCTGTTCAACTTGAAGACGTCTCCCCTAACAAATCTAAAACAAATGGTACTCATACAAACCCATCCAACTAAAACTGCTTTCCTTCTAACAAAACTAAGTAATCAACAAATATTTATTTATTTATTTATTTATTTATTTTCTTCTTTTTGTATTATACTTTAAGTTTTAGGGTACATGTGCACAACGTGCAGGTTTGTTACATATATATACATGTGTCATGTTGGTGTGCTGCACCCATTAACTCGTCATTTAACATTAGGCATATCTCCTAATGCTATCCCTCCCCCCTCCCCCCACCCCACAACAGGCCCTGGTGTGTGATGTTCCCCTTCCTGTGTCCATGTGTTCTCATTGTTCAATTCGCACCTATGAGTGAGAGCATGCAGTGTTTGGTTTTTTGTCCTTGCGATAGTTTGCTGAGAATGATGGTTTCCAGCTTCATCCATTTCCCTACAAAGGACATGAGCTCATCATTTTTTATGGCTGCATAGTATTCCATGGTGTATATGTGCCACATTTTCTTAATCCAGTCTATTATTGTTGGACATTTGGGTTGGTTCCAAGTCTTTGCTATTGTGAATAGTGCCGCAATAAACATACGTGTACATGTGTTTTATAGCAGCATGATTTATAGTCCTTTGGGTATATACCCAGTAATGGGATGGCTGGGTCAAATGGTATTTCTAGTTCTAGATCCCTGAGGAATCGCCACACTGACTTCCAAAAGGGTTGAACTAGTTTACAGTCCCACCAATAGTGTAAAAGAGTTTCTATTTCTCCACATCCTCTCCAGCACCTGTTGTTTCCTGACTTTTTAATGATCGCCATTCTAACTGCTGTGAGATGGTATCTCACTGTGGTTTTGATTTGCATTTCTCTGATGGCCAGTGATGGTGAGCATTTTATCATGGGTCTTTTGGCTGCATAAACGTCTTCTTTTGAGAAGTGTCTGTTCATATCCTTCACCCACTTGTTGATGGGGTTGTGTGTTTTTTTCTTGTGAATTTGTTTGAGTTCATTGTAGATTCTGGATATTAGCCCTTAGTCAGATGAGTAGATAGCAAAAATTTTCTCCCATTCTGTAGGTTGCCTGTTCACTCTGATGAACAGTGCAGTGCAGAAGCTGTTTAGTTTAGTTAGATCCCATTTGTCAATTTTGGCTTTTGTTGCCATTGCTTTTGGTGTTTTAGACATGAAGTCCTTGCCCATGCCTATGTCCTGAATGGTAATGCCTAGGTTTTCTTCTAGGGTTTTTATGGTTTTAGGTCTAACATTTAAATCTTTAATCCATCTTGAATTAATTTTTGTATAAGGTGTAAGGAAGGGATCCAGTTTCAGCTTTCTACATATGGCTAGCCAGTTTTCCCAGCACCAATTATTAAATAGGGAATCCTTTCCCCATTTCTTGTTTTTCTCAGGTTTGTCAAAGATCAGATAGTTGTAGATATGTGGCATTATTTCTGAGGGCTCTGTTCTGTTCCATTGGTCTATATGACTGTTTTGGTACCAGTACCATTCTGTTTTGGTCACTGTAGCCTTGTAGTATAGTTTGAAGTCAGGTAGCGTGATGCCTCCAGCTTTGTTCTTTTGGCTTAGGATTGACTTGGCAATGCCGGCTCTTTTTTTGGTTCTGTATGAACTTTAAAGTAGTTTTTACCAATTCTGTGAAGAAAGGCATTGGTAGCTTGATGGGGATGGCATTGAATCTATAAATTACCTTGGGCAGTATGGCCATTTTCATGATATTGATTCTTCCTGCCCATGAGCATGGAATGTTCTTCCATTTGTTTGTATCCTCTTTTATTTCATTGAGCAGTGGTTTGTAGTTCTCCTTGAAGAGGTCCTTCACATCCCTTGTAAGTTGGATTCCTAGGTATTTTGTTCTCTTTGAAGCAATTGTGAATGGGAGTTCACTCACGATTTGGCTCTCTGTTTGTCTGTTATTGGTGTATAAGAATGCTTGTGATTCTTGCACATTGATTTTGTATCCTGAGACTTTGCTGAAGTTGCTTATCAGCTTAAGGAGATTTTGGGCTGAGATTATGGGGTTTTCTAGATATATAACATGTCATCTGCAAACAGGGACAATTTGACTTCTTCTTTTCCTAATTGAATACCCTTTATTTCTTTCTCCTTCCTGATTGCCCTGGCCAGAACTTCCAACACTATGTTGAATAGGAGTGGTGAGAGAGGGCATCCCTGTCTTGTGCCAGTTTTCAAAGGGAATGTTTCCAGTTTTTGCCCATTCTTTATGATATTGGCTTTGGGTTTGTCATAAATAGCCCTTATTATTTTGACTTACGTTCCATCACTACCTAGTTTATTGAGAGGTTTTAGCATGAAGGGGTGCTGAATTTTGTTGAAGGCCATTTCTGCATCTATTGAGATAATCATGTGGTTTTTGTCATTGGTTCGGTTTATGTGATGGGTTATGTTTAGTGATTTACATATGTTGAACCAGCCTTGCATCCCAGGTATGAAGCCAACTTGAACGTGGTGGATAGGCTTTATGATGTGCTTCTGGATTCAGTTTTCCAGTATTTTGTTGAGGATTTTCACATGGATGTTCATCAGGGATATTGGGCTGAAATTTTTTGATGTTGTTGTGTCTCTGCCAGGTTTTGGTATCAGGATGATGCTGGCCTCATAAAATGAGTTAGGGAGGAGTCTCTCTTTTTCTATTGTTTGGAATAGTTTCAGAAGGAATGGTGCCAGCTCCTCTTGGTATCTCTTGTGTAATTCAGCTGTGAGTCCATCTGGTCCGGGACTTCTTTTGATTGGTAGGCTATTAGTTACTGCCTCAATTTCAGAACTTGGTATTGGTCTATTCAGGGATTTGACTTCTTCGTGCTTTAGTCTTGGGAGGGTGTATGTGTCCAGGAATTTATCCATTTCTTCTCGATTTTCTAGTTTATTTGTGTAGAGGTGCTTATAGTATTCTCTGATGGTAGCTTTTATTTCTGTGGGATCAATGATGATATCCCCTATATCATTTTTATTGGGTCTATTTGATTCTTCTCTCTTTTTTTCTTTATTAGTCTGGCTAGTGGTCTATCTATTTTATTGATCTTGTCAGAAAACCAGCTTCTGGATTCATTGATTTTTTGAAAGGTTTTTCGTGTCTCTATCTCCTTCAGTTCTGCTCTGATCTTAGTTATTTCTTGTCTTCTGCTAGCTTTTGAATTTGTTTGCTGTTGCTTTTCTAGTTCTTTTAATTTTGATGTTAGTGTGTCAATTTTAGATCTTTCATCTTTTCTCTTGTGAGCATTTAGTGCTATAAATTTCCCTCTACACACTGCTTTAAATGTGTCCCAGAGATTCTGGTATATTGTATCTTCATTCTCATTGTATTCAAATAACATCTTTTACCTGCCTTCATTTCGTTATTTACCCAGTAGTCATTCAGGAGCAGGTTGTTCAGTTTCCATGTAGTTATGCAGTTTTGAGTACGTTTCTTAATCCTGAGTTCTAATTTGATTGCACTGTGGTCTGAGAGACAGTTTGTTATGATTTCCATCATATTGCATTTGCTGAGGAGTGTTTTACTTCCAATTATGTGGTCAATTTTAGAATAATTGTGATGAGGTGCCGAGAAGAATGTATATTCTGTTGACCTGGGGCGGAGAGTTCTGTAAATGTCTATTATGCCTGCTTGGTCCAGAGCTGAGTTCAAGTCCTGAATATCCTTGTCAATTTTCTGTCTCATTGATATGTCTAATATTGACAGTGGGATGTTAAAGTCTCCCACTATTATTGTGTGGGAGTCTAAGTCTCTTTGTAGGTTTCTAAGAACTTGCTTTACGAATCTAGGTGCTCCTGTATTGGGTACATATATATTTAGGATAGTTAGCTCTTCTTGTTTCATTGATCCCTTTACCATTATGTGATGCTCCTCTTTGTCTCTTTTGATCTTTTTTGGTTTAAATTCTGTTTTATCAGAGATTAGGATTGCAACTTCTACTTTTTTTTTTTTTTGGTTTTCCATTTTCTTGGTAAATATTCCTCCATCCCTTTATTTTGAGCCTATGTATGTCTTTGTATGTGAGTTAGGTCTCCTGAATACAGCACACTGATCGGTCCTGACTCTATCCAATTTGCCAGTCTGTGTCATTTAATTGGAGCATTTAGGCCATTTACATTTCAGGTTAATATTGTTATGTGTTAATTTGATCCTGTCATTATGATGCTACCTGGTTATTTTGCCCATTATTTCTGTTCCAGGGAGATGGGGGTTTTATCTATAGTCCCTGACTGAGGCTGCTGCCTTTTGATCAGAGATGCCCTGTCCAGAGAGAAGAAATCTGGCAGTCTGGCCACAGTGGCCTTGCTCAGCTGCAGTGGGCTCTGCCCAGTTCGAACTTCCCCAAGGCTTTTTTTACACTTTTAGGGTTAAACGGCCTACTCAAGCCTCAGCAATGGCAGACACCCCTCCCCCAACCAAGCTGGAGCACCCCAGGTCAATCTCAGGCTGTTGCTGTGCTGGCAGGGAGAATTTCAAGCAAGTGGATCTTAGTTTCCTGGGCTCCGTGGGGGTAGGACCCACTGAGCCAGACCACTTGGCTCCCTGGCTTCAGCACTTTTTTCCAGGGGGGTGAACAATTCTGTCTCGCTGGCATTCCATGTGCCACTGTGGTATGGAAAACAAAATCTCCTGCAGTTAGTTTGGTATCTGCCCAGACGGCTGCCCAGTTTTGTGCTTGAAACCCAGGGCCCTGGTGAGGTAGGCACTGGAGGGGGTCTCCTGGTCTGCAGGTTGCAAAGACCATGGGAAAAGCACAGTATCTGGGCCAGAGTGCATGATTCCTCAGGTTTAGTCCCTCAAGGCTTCCCTTGGGTAAAGGAGAAGATTCCCTGACCCCTTGTGCTTCCCAGGTGAGGTGACAACCCACCCTGCTTCGGCTCACCCTCTGCGGGCTGCACCCACTGTCTAACCAGTCTCAATGAGATTAACCGAGTACCTCAGTTGGAAATGCAGAAATCACCCACATTCTGTGTTGATCTCTCTGGGAGCTGCAGACTGGAGCTGTTCCCATTAGACCATCTTGCCAGCAATCCTGTTATATTGACTTTCTAAACCTCTTGTTTTCTTTTTGCCTTCTGTAACACCAATATTTGATCATTTTATGGTGTCCCATATGTCATGTAGATTTTGCTCATCTTTTTTATTCTTTTGTCTTTATTTTTGTCTGACTGGTTTATTTCAAAATACCTGTCTTCAAGTTCCAACATACTTTCTTTAGCTTGAGCTAGTCTATATTGAAGCTTTCAAATGTATTTTGTATTTCATGCCATGTATTCTTTAATTTCAGAATTTCTGTTTGTTTGTTGTTTTAATGATATTTATCTCTTTGGTAAATTTCTTATTCATATCCTGGATTTGTTTTTCATTTCTTTGTATTTATTTTTAGTATTCTCTTGTGTCTTACTGGACTTAATTAGTACCAACATTTTAAATTATTTTACTATAATTTTTAAAATTTATTTTTGATTGAGGTCTGTTGCTGGAGGATTGTTGTGTTCCTTTGGAAGTGTCATGTTTATTTGCTTTTTTAATGTTTCTCATGCCCTTACATTAATATTTTTTGCATCTGCTGTAATAGTAGCTTCTTCCAATTTTAAAAATATACTTATTTGGGAGAGGACTTTTTCCTGAAGATGTATCTATGGGGTTGGAGTAGTGTAGTCTCTGTGTGATTTCTTCATTTGTAAACAGTGTCAGTAGTATCTTATTATTTCCTCAGTACCTTAGGGTATGGTTGATAGTAGAAACTGTGGTGAAGTTTTGCTAAAAACTGGGACACTAAGTTGGCCTGCCTTTATGCCCCAGATAGTGGTGGACTAAGCATACCTGTCCTTAGGTCCCAGGGTAATATATGCTGACACTGTTTTTAGTAGGTTCAGGCATCCTGATCTTGGGTCTCAATGTTGCTTGTTTAGTTTCCTAGGATGGCAGTGGTGGGCCAGGCAAGTAAGTGGATTCATGAGCTTCTGGGCAGTGAGTGTGGCATTGGTGATGGCAGTAGTAGTGGTGGGAAAAGCTCCAGGACCCAAACTATCCACACTGGAATGGGTGCTGACTGTGATGGGCTAGCCAGTCTAGTCCCCAGGCCCACATGTGGCACATACAGGTGGATGCCAACTGTAATGTTAGCAGCAGGTTGAGTGGGCATGACTTCAGACAATGGGAGGAGTACTCAGGCGCCAATAGTGGTAGACAGGGCTGGGTTATTTACAGGCTTCTTGATGACATGCTTGGGCTCTGCAGGGTTAATAGTGGGATGGACAATCACCCTGACAGGCCACCTGGTGGTGCATGCATGTGCTGGGTGTGGTAGGCAGGAACAGGGTGATCCCCAGGCCACAGGCAAAATGCTCTTGTGAGGGTAGCAGCTGTGCCATGTCCCCGCTTCTGGGGGAGGTCATGGTTGCTTTCTGTGGGAGCAGCCATAGGGAGTTGGCTGAGTGTCGCACACTTCACTTGAACCTAAGTGCTGCAGCAGTATGCAGGTGGTTATAGGCAGGGAAATTTGTTCTCAGGGTGCATGAAAATGTATCACTTCTCCTCTGCTGGGGGTCAAGGTGGCATGAGGTCACTGCTAGTGGTTCCTGCCAAACCCTGACAGTGACAGATGTGGGTGAGAAATGTCAATGGGGCTCCAGGAATGTGGAGATGCAGAGGGTGTTGAGCAGCAGGGCTGGATGTAGTCTGATTGGGGCTAGGTTCCCAAAATGGTGCCATGCTTCATTTGCTTAGGACTCAGAGGTTTGTGGGACCCAGCATAAGCTCAGTCTCTGGAGCAATGCCTTTATGTAGTCTCCAGGCAGCATTTTATGCTAATTTCAGGGCCTATGAGGCTTGAGAGGCTCTCCCATGGCTAGGATTGTAGAAGTCTGTGGTGGGACTATGGACCACTGGGTGTGTCTTTCACTTATGTTTTCCTTGCAGTAGGGAGCCTCTCCAGACTCCCAGCTGATCCCAGCCAAAAAAAAGCTGCCTTGCTTCTCTCTCTTTCTTTGTTTTCAGTGCTTCTTATCACTACTCTATTAAATTCCAGTGATCTCTCTTAGATAATTTATCCAGTTTCTGTATTAGATATGTTTAAGACAAATTTGCATTAATATTTAAATCTTATTGGGGCTTAGTATTCTTTTTCGTTCAATAAACATTTGTGAAGAACAACTATTTCCTGGAGATTTTGCTAGGCATTAGGAATATAAATAAAGATAAGATGCTTTTTCCCACTTTGTGGATTTCACAATATAGTAGAAGAAAGTATGAAATTATCACAATACAATTAGATAATTATCACATCAGAAATATTTGTCAAGTCCTGTGTGAACTGAATGAAAATTTGTCTATATTTTACTTACAAAAATTCAAGGTCACTGAAGAGAAATATTACACATTAATATGTGTGAAATGTAAACCACAGATCTGGTTATCACAATTACTTAATTTAATGTTAATCTCACTTTCCATCAAGGAGCTCATGTCTTGAACAAAATAGAACCAAACCTAATGCTCATTAAGCAACCAAATTGAAATATAAATAAATTTATTTTCAACCGGTAGACTTTTTTGATACTTATGTTAGCCCAGATCCTTCAAGAAGTAGAATCCAGAATGTGATTAGATGTGCAAGAGGTTTATGCAAGAAATTAAAGAACATCTAAACAAATGAAAATATATTTATGTTTATTAACAAGGGGACTTAACATTGTTAAGATGTCAATACCACCAACAGCAATCTACATATTCAATAAAATTAATGTCAAAAGTCCAACAGTATTATTTGCAAAAATGAAAAAGTTGATGATCAAATTCATATGAAACTGCAAGTAGCCTCAAAGAGCCAAAAAAAAACTTGAATAAGAAGAATAGAATTAGAGGAGTCACACTTCCCAATGTCAAAACTTACTCTCTCTCTCTCTCTCTCTCTCTCTCTCTCTCTATATATATATATATATATATATGTCAAGGTTCTCTAGAGGAACTGAATTAATAGGATATATGTATATATGAAAGGGAGCTTATTAAGGAGAGTTGACTCACATGATCACAAGGTAATGTCCCACGATAGGCCATCTGCAACTTGAGGAGCAACAAAGCCAACAGTGAATTAGTTCAAGTCCCAAAACCTCAAAAGTAGGGAGCTGACAGTGCAGCCTTCAGTCTGTGGCCAAAGTCCTGAAAGCCCCTGGCAAACAACTGGTGTAAGTCTAAGAGTCGAAAAGTCAAAAAATTTGGAGTCGGTTTTTTTGTTTTTTTTTTTTTTTTTGAGACGGAGTCTCACTCTGTCGCCCAGGCTGGAGTGCAGTGGCGCGATCTCGGCTCACTGCAAGCTCCGCCTCCCGGGTTCACGCCATTCTCCTGCCTCAGCCTCCCGAGTAGCTGGGACTACAGGCGCCCACTACCATGCCCGGCTAATTTTTTGTATTTTTAGTAGAGACGGGGTTTCACCGTGTTAGCCAGGATGGTCTCGCTCTCCTGACCTCGTGATCCGCCCGCCTCGGCCTCCCAAAGTGCTGGGATTACAGGCGTGAGCCACCGCGCCCGGCCTGGAGTCTGTTATTATAGAGCAAGAAGTATCTATCACAGGAGAAAGATAAAGGCCAGAAGACTCAGCAAGTCTAATCTTTCCAATTTCTTCTACCTGCTTTACTCTAGCTGTGCTGGCAGCTGATTAAATGATGCCCACTCAGATTGAGGGTGGGTCTGCCTCTCCCAGTCCACTGATTCAAATGTTTATCTCCCTTGGGAACACCCTCACAGACAAACCTAGGAAAAATACTTGGCATCTTTCAATCCAATCAAGTTGACATTCAATATTAACCATCAATATACTAATTAAAACAATATGGAAGTCTGGAGGGGAGAGGGATGTTAGAAAGATGGCAGAGTAAGAAGCCCTAGATCTTCCTTCTTCCTACAGAAACACCAATTCAACTATAATAGTCTGATCATTTCCTTTTATGAGACATTTAGAAACCAGGTAAGAGGCTCCTACACCCCCAAGCAAGCACAATACCAACCACATTGAAAATGGTAGGAAAATTTGTGGTAGTCTATCACCTCAGTCCCTCCCTAGCACAAGGACACACAACAGGGAGGAAACTTTTAGCTTCCAGCTTCTCATTAAAGAAGGAAAGAGAAGACTGGACCATGTTACTAACATTGTGACTTTTTGGGGAGGCTTCTGGAGTGACTGGCTTGTATTTAACCTGTCTTGGAGCACTGACAGCATACTCTAGATTCCTGGAGACCAGTGCAGTCAAAAGATCCAGGCAGCATCCTGCTGTTTTAGAGGGCCCATTGAGCTTGTTTGGCCTCTTTCTCAGGGGGCAAAAGAAGACTGGGGGGGAGGAGCCAAGATGGCAGAATAGGAACAGCTCCAGTCTACAGCTCCCAGCGTGAGCAACGCAGAAGACGGGTGATTTCTGCATTTCCATCTGAGGTACCAGTTTCATCTCACTAGGGAGTGCCAGACAGTGGGTGCAGGACAGTGGGTGCAGCGCGCCGTGCGCGAGCCAAAGCAGGGCGAGGCATTGCCTCACTCAGGCAGCGGAAGGGGTCAGGGAGTTCCCTTTCCTGGTCAAGGAAAGGGGTGACAGATGGCACCTGGAAAATCGGGTTACTCTCACCCGAATACTGCACTTTTCCGACGGGCTTAGGAAACGGCGCACCAGGAGATTATATCCTGCACGTGGCTCGGAGGGTCTTACGCCCACGGAGTCTCGCTGATTGCTAGCACAGCAGTCTGAGATCAAACTGCAAGGTGGCAGCGAGGCTGGGGGAGGGGGGCCCACAATTGCCCAGGCTTGCTTAGGTAAACAAAGCAGCTGGGAAGTTCCAACTGGGTGGAACCCACCACAGCTCAAGGAGGCCTGCCTGGCTCTGTAGGCTCCACCTCTGGGGGCAGGGCACAGACAAACAAAAAGACAGCAGTAACCTCTGCAGACTTAAATGTCCCTGCCTGACAGCTTTGAAGAGAGCAGTGGTTCTCCCAGCACGCAGCTGGAGATCTGAGAATGGGCAGACTGCCTCCTCAAGTGGGTCCCTGACCCCTGACCCCCAAGCAGCCTAACTGGGAGGCACCCCCCAGTAGGGGCAGACTGACACCTCACACGGCCGGGTACTCCTCTGAGACAAAACTTCCAGAGGAACAATCAGACAGCAGCATTCGCGGTTCAGGAAAATTTGCGGTTCTGTAGACACCGCTGCTGATACCCAGACAAACAGGTCCTGGAGTGGACCTCTAGCAAACTCCAACAGACCTGCAGCTGGGGGTCCTGTCTGTTAAAAGGAAAACTAACAAACAGAAAGGACATCCACACCAAAAACCCATCTGTACATCACCATCATCAAAGACCAAAAGTAGATAAAACCACAAAGATGGGGACAAAACAGAGCAGAAAAACTGGAAACTCTAAAAAGCAGAACACCTCTCCTCCTCCAAAGGAACACAGTTCCTCACCAGCAATGGAACAAAGCTGGACACAGAATGACTTTGATGAGCTGAGAGAAGAAGGCTTCAGATGATCAAACTATTACGAGCTACAGGAGGAAATTCAAACCAAAGGCAAAGAAGTTGAAAACTTTGAAAAAAATTTAGAAGAATGTATAACTAGAATAAACAATACAGAGAAGTGCTTAAAGGAGCTGATGGAGTTGAAAGCCAAGGTTCGAGAACTACGTGAAGAATGCAGAAGCCTCAGGAGCCGATGTGATCAACTGGAAGAAAGGGTAACAGTGATGGAAGATGAAATGAATGAAATGAAGTGAGAAGGGAAGGTTAGAGAAAAAAGAATAAAAAGAAAAGAGCAAAGCCTCCAAGAAATATGGGACTATGTGAAAAGACCAAATCTGCGTCTGATTGGTGTACCTGAAAGTGACGGGGAGAATGGAACCAAGTTGGAAAACACTCTGCAGGATATTATCCAGGAGAACTTCCCCAATCCAGCAAGGCAGGCCAACATTCAGATTCAGGAAATACAGAGAACGCCACAAAGATACTCCTCGAGAAGAGCAACTCCAAGACACAGAATTGTCAGATTCATCAAAGTTGAAATGAAGGAAAAAATGTTAAGGGCAGCCAGAGAGAAAGGTCGGGTTACCTACGAAGGGAAGCTCCTCAGACTAACAGCGGATCTCTCGGCTGAAACTCTACAAGCCAGAAGAGAGTGGGGGCCGATATTCAACATTCTTACAGAAAAGAATTTTCAACCAGAATTTCATATCCAGCCAAACTAAGCTTCATAAGTGAAGGAGAAATAAAATACTTTACAGACAAGCAAATGCTGAGAGATTTTGTCACCACCAGGCCTGCCCTAAAAGAGCTCCTGAAGGAAGCACTAAACATGGAAAAGCACAACCAGTACCAGCTGATGCAAAATCAGGCCAAACTGTAAAGACTATCGAGACTAGAAAGAAACTGCATCAACTAACAAGCAAAATAACCAGCTAACATCATAATGACAGGATCAAATTCACACATAATACTATTAACTTTAAATGTAAATGGACTAAATGCTCCAATTAAAAGACACAGACTGGCAAATTGGATAAAGAATCAAGACCCATCAGTGTGCTGTATTCAGGAAGCCCATCTCACGTGCAGAGACACACATAGGCTCAAAATAAAAGGATAGAGGAAAATCTACCAAGCAAATGGAAAACAAAAAAAGGCAGGGATTGCAATCCTAGTCTCTAATAAAACAGACTTTAAACCAACAAAGATTAAAAGAGACAAAGAAGGCCATTACATAATGGTAAAGGGATCAATTCAACAAGAAGAGCTAACTATCCTAAATATATATGCACCCAATACAGGAGCACCCAGATTCATAAAGCAAGTCCTGAGTGACCTACAAAGAGACTTAGACTCCCACACAATAATAATGGGAGACTTTAACACCCCACTGTCAACATTAGACAGATCAATGAGACAGAAAGTTAACAAGGATACCCAGGAATTGAACTCAGCTCTGCACCAAGTGAACCTAATAGACATCTACAAAACTCTCCACCCCAAATCAACAGAATATACATTTTTTTCAGCACCACACCACACCTATTCCAAAATTGACCACATACTTGGAAGTAAAGCTCTCCTCAGCAAATGTAAAAGAACAGAAATTATAACAAACTGTCTCTCAGACCACAGTGCAATCAAACTAGAACTCAGGATTAAGAAACTCACTCAAAACTGCTCAACTACATGGAAACTGAACAACCTGCTCCTGAATGACTACTGGGTACACAACGAAATGAAGGCAGAAATAAATATGTTCTTTGAAACCAATGAGAACAAAGACACAACATACCAGAATCTCTGGGACACATTCAAAGCAGTGTGTACAGGGAAATTTATAGCACTAAATGCCCACAAGAGAAAGTAGGAAAGATCCAAAATTGACACCCTAGTATCACAATTAAAAGAACTAGAAAAGCAAGAGCAAACACATTCAAAAGCTAGCAGAAGGCAAGAAATAACTAAAATCAGAGCAGAACTGAAGGAAATGGAGACACAAAAAACCCTTCAAAAAATTAATGAATCCAGGAGCTGGTTTTTTGAAAGGATCAACAAAATTGATAGACTGCTAGCAAGACTAATAAAGAAAAAAACAGAGAAGAATCAAATAGATGCAATAAAAAATGATAAAGGGGATATCACCACCGATCCCACAGAAATACAAACTACCATCAGAGAATACTACAAACACCTCTACACAAATAAACTAGAAAATCTAGAAGAAATGGATACATTCCTTGACACATACACTCTCCCAAGACTAAACCAGGAAGAAGTTGAATCTCTGAATAGACCAATAACAGGATCTGAAATTGTGGCAATAATCAATAGCTTACCAACCAAAAAGAGTCCAGGACCAGATGGATTCACAGCTGAATTCTACCAGAGGTACAAGGAGGAACTGGTACCATTCCTTCTGAAACTATTCCAATCAATAGAAAAAGAGGGTATCCTCCCTAACTCATTTTATGAGGCCAGCATCATCCTGATACCACAGCCAGGCAGAGACACAACCAAAAAAGAGAATTTTAGACCAATATCCTTGATGAACATTGATGCAAAAATCCTCAATAAAATACTGGCAAACCAAATCCAGCAGCACATCAAAAAGCTTATCCACCATGATCAAGTGGACTTCATCCCTGGGATGCAAGGCTGGTTCAATATACGCAAATCAATAAATGTAATCCAGCATATAAACAGAGCCAAAGACAAAAACCACATGATTATCTCAATAGATGCAGAAAAGGCCTTTGACAAAATTCAACAACCCTTCATGCTAAAAACTCTCAATAAATTAGATATTGATAGGATGTATCTCAAAATAATAAGAGCTATCTATGACAAACCCACAGCCAACATCATACTGAATGGGCAAAAACTGGAAGCATTCCCTTTGAAAACTGGCACAAGACAGGGATGCCCTCTCTCACCACTCCTATTCAACATAGTGTTGGAAGTTCTGGCCAGGGCAATTAGGCAGGAGAAGGAAATAAAGGGTATTCAATTAGGAAGAGAGGAAGTCAAATTGTCCCTGTTTGCAGATGACATGATTGTATATCTAGAAAACCCCATTGTCTCAGCCCAAAATCTCCTTAAGCTGATAAGCAACTTCAGCAAAGTCTCAGGATACAAAATCAATGTACAAAAATCACAAGCATTCTTATACACCAATAACAGACAGAGAGCCAAATCATGAGTGAACTCCCATTCAGAATTGCTTCAAAGAGAATAAAATACCTAGGAATCCAACTTACAAGGGATGTTAAGGACCTCTTCGAGGAGAACTACAAACCACTGCTCAATGAAGTAAAAGAGGATACAAACAAATGGAAGAACTTTCCATGCTCATGGGTAGGAAGAATCAATATCATGAAAATGGCCATACTGCCCAAGGTAATTTATAGATTCAATGCCATCCCCATCAAGCTACCAATGACTTTCTTCACAGAATTGGAAAAAACTACTTTAAAGTTCTTATGGAACCAAAAAAGAGCCCACATCACCAAGTCAATCCTAAGCCAAAAGAACAAAGCTGGAGGCATCACCCTACCTGACTTCAAACTATACTACAAGGCTACAGTGACCAAAACAGCATGGTACTGGTACCAAAACAGAGATATAGATCAATGGAACAGAACAGAGCCCTCAGAAATAACGCCGCATATCTACAACCATCCGATCTTTGACAAATCTGAGAAAAACAAGCAATGGGGAAAGGATTCCCTATTTAGTTAATGGTTCTGGGAAAACTGGCTAGCCATATGTAGAAAGCTGAAACTGGATCCCTTCCTTACACCTTATACAAAAATTAATTCAAGATGGATTAAAGACTTAAACATTAGACCTAAAACCATAAAAACCCTAGAAGAAAACTTAGGCATTACCATTCAGGACATAGGCATGGGCAAGGACTTAATGTCTAAAACACCAAAAGCAATGGCAACAAAAGCCAAAATTGACAAATGGGATATAATTAAACTAAACAGCTTCTACACTGCAAAAGAAACTACCATCAGAGTGAACAGGCAACCTACAAAATGGGAGAAAATTTTCGCAACCTACTCATCTGACAAAGGGCTAATATCCAGAATCTACAATGAACTCAAACAAATTTACAAGAAAAAAACAAACAACCCCATCAAAAAGTGGGCGAAGTACATGAACAGACACTTCTCAAAAGAAGACATTTATGCAGCCAAAAGACACATGAAAAAATGCTCATCATCACTGGCCATCAGAGAAATGCAAATCAAAACCACAATGAGATACCATCTCACACCAGTTAGAATGGCAATCATTAAAAAGTCAGGACACAACAGGTGCTGGAGAGGATGTGGAGAAATAGGAACACTTTTACACTGTTGGTGGGACTATAAACTAGTTCAACCATTGTGGAAGTCAGTGTGGCGATTCCTCAGGGATCTAGAACTAGAAATACCATTTGACCCAGCCATCCCATTACTGGGTATATACCCAAAGGACTATAAATCATGCTGCTATAAAGACACATGCACACGTATGTTTACTGCGGCACTATTCACAATAGCAAAGACTTGGAACCAACCCAAATGTCCAACAATGATAGACTGGATTAAGAAAATGTGGCACATATACACCATGGAATACTATGCAGCCATAAAAAATGATGAGTTCATGTCCTTTGTAGGGACATGGATGAAATTGGAAATCATCATTCTCAGTAAACTATCTCAAGGACAAAAAACCAAACACCGCATGTTCTCACTCATAGATGGGAACTGAACAATGAGAACACATGGACACAGGAAGGGGAACATCACACTCTGGGGACTGTTGTGGGGTGGGGGGAGGGGGGAAGGATAGCATTAGGAGATATACCTAATGCTAAATGATGAGTTAATGGGTGCAGCACACCAGCATGGCACATGTATAGATGTGTAACTAACCTGCACATTGTGCACATGTACCCTAAAACTTAAAGTATAATAATAATTAAAAAAGAAAAAAAAATCAAAGAAAATCTTAAAAAAACCAAAAAACAAAACAAAAAAAAAAACAGAAAAAAAAAAAAAGAAGACTGAAGCATGCACATCTAATGCTCCAGGCTTTTGAGGGACTGTCTAAGGGGTTGTTTTCTGTCTAGTCTAACTTGGGGTGTTGATGTGTGTATTTGTGTGTGTATGCATATCTATGCAAAATCCCACCTTACTTAGTGTTTTTTTAAATCTAGAAAGCACTCAACCAATTAGCAAAGGAGCTAGTAACAATGTTGATTCAAAGCAAATATTAAGAAAGCTATCATTTTGTTATAGGATTCTCAGCACATTTAATCAGTCATAATTTTAAGTATAATTCATGGATATTTAGATTAGACTCACCTTAGACATGGAAAGGCCATGGGTGTCTGCTTGTTTTGTACTGCTTCAAAGCAAGAGAAAAAAGAAACAGAATTAGCCCAATTGTAAGAAGTATCTTGGCCAATTAAAACAGAATAATCAGAATGAATTATTTGTGAAGCTATTTAACAAATAATAAAACACCTCCTTTACTTACTTTATTCATTCATTTAACAAATTTTGTTGAACCCTTTCTGTACAAACACACAAAATAAACCCTTACTCTCATTTAGCTTATATTCTAATACAGAAAATTTTATTCATAAAGGTGTAAATAATGGCACAAAGTAGCATATAATTTATAGAGAAGTTGTTTAGGCAATATGCAATATAGAAATTAAAATAAAAAGTAGTTTTATTTGGAAATAGGGAATACTTCGTGAAAGATTTATAAACTAACTTAATCTGGGCCCTAAAGAAAGGAGTATTGAGTCATTTTTCTGGCTACAGTTTTAGTTAATAAACCATTGAATTAAAAAAAATGGTTTCACTGTGCTTTCCAAGATTGTCTCCAGATAAAGCACACTGAAAGGATATACAGACAATCCCTGACTGAGGATGGTTCAACTTATTTTTTTTTTACTTGATGATGATGAAAATTCAATAGACATTCAGTAGAAACCATAATTCAGCAATTTTTTCTTAACTTTCAGTACAGCATTTGATAAATTACATGAGTTACTCAACACTTTATTTTAAAATAGCTTTGTGTTGGATGATTTTGCTCTACTATAGACTAATGTAAATGTTCTGAGCATGTTTAAGGTAGGCTAAGCTAAGCTATGATGTTCACTAGATTAGGTGTGTTAAATGCAAGTTTGACTTACAGTATTTCCAACTTATGATGTATTTATCAAAATGTAACCCCATTATAAGTTGAGGAGTATCTGTAATTTGAGTGCTCGCTAAGTGAAAACGTGTCATTTTTCTTATAATTTTTGCTATACTGTGAGCTCCTCATAGGTAAGAGTCCCCTCTAATTCATATTTGCATCCTCCTTCCATTCCAACTAGCACATAACAGGCACTCTGATGTAAAGCTAAGATACTATGATCAAAAAAATTAAATCATTGAATCATTTCCTATGTTCTTTCTTTTCTATAGAATGGCCTAACTTGGAATCTAGATCAGTTTTCCCCTTTAGTTTAATGTAATGAATATAGACAAAATGTTTAAATAATTTCATAACTTTGAACATACTTTGAACTTTCTGTTAAAGAATCTTCACATTTTATTCTGTGGCACTAATCAGGCATCAGGAAAATAAAGACCTGGCATTATATATACATATGTGTGTGTGTGTGTGCACACACGTGTGTGTATCAACAACACAACTATAACCCTACATCCTCTTTTGAGGAGGATAGTAAACTCTAACTTAAGATTGGGAACATCACACACCGGGGCCTTTTGTGGGGTAGGGGGAGGTGGAAGGGATAACATTAGGAGATATACCTAATGTAAATGACGAGTTAATGGGTGCAGCACACCAACATGGCACATGTATACATATGTAACAAACCTGCACGTTGTGCACATGTATCCTATAACTTAAAGTAAAATTATATATATATATATATATATAAAAGATTTACTCTTTGTCTAACTGTGCCGCATGCCCTCTAGCCACTATTTAACAATTCTCAATTTAATCAAACTTTAAGTTTCATCATCTAGGAAATTTCAGAATGTGTTCTGTAATGGTTTTGATTTGGTAGTTGAAAAAACAAAAATCATCCTCATTACCATTACCACAGACTCGTGAAATCATAGCATCAGAATGGGCTACAAGAAGTTATCTAGGTTTCTAGGCAGCTCTGTGCCTCCTACTTTTGGCTTGTTGCAGAATCAATCAACATTTACCCGTGTTTTTTTTTGTAATAGATGTCTAGAAGTCCTGGTACTTGAGCTACTCAAAAGTCACTAACAGTTTGTAAAAATTTTTTACTAAAGCAAAATTTTCTAATAGGGAGCATTATCAAAATATACCCTTAAGATAGGTCAAAATCACAAGTGCTCTCAGTGTTACCCTGTAACATTGTAGGAGAGATCACTAAAGTGAGCTGTGTTGTGATAAATAGACTGTATTGCCTTTCTTGGCTTCTGACCTTGATTGTTACAAAGTTTCTTCTATAACTCAAAAACAAAACTAAATCCCAAGCTGACCAATATTGGTTTTTAACCCTGTGTTACAAATACATATAGATTCTCTGGTATGGTGGCAAAAAATAACCTGCATGAAGGAAACCATTACCTACTTGAAGAATTTGAAGAATTAAGCCACCCTGTGAATTGTTTCCACCAAGTATACAGTTTTCATTTGGACATGTGAGTAGAGTGACAAAACAGAATTCTTTACAAGAGGGTACAGGTTCATCTGATTTGAGCTACGGAGGGATTTAAACGTTGTATCATGGTTACACCTTACTCTACCAGTGCAGTGCAGAAACAGTGAGAGTGGGCATTGATGCATAACAAAATTGGGTTTAATTTTAGCCAGTTACCAGTTGGGGGACTAAGGTCTTAATTATCTAGATTCTTGACTGGTAAATAATAATAATGCCTATCTATAATGGATACTGAGTGCACAGTACATGACACATAACAGGCGTTGTGTAAAGAAGGGTGCTACTCATTGTATGTTCATCATCATCACAGCAGGCAGTAAAATTGTGATACCAATCCTTATTTTTATTTTTGTGTAAGTGGTAATTTCAAAAGTGGCTGTGATTCCTTTTTCTAGTTTTTTTCTCCTTCTTATTACTCTCTAGGTGTAATCACATATCTAATAAAACCATATTGATTAACCATAAAAACACTGATTTAAAAGCCCTTTAATATTGGAAGAAATAAAAATAGCAAAGGCATACAACCTTCCAAGCTAAAATTCTGAGTTATAAATTCAAGTGATTCAAATTGACACAAACAAAATAAAACTTTCTAAATTGCTAAAAGTGGGGAAGATTTGAACATTAGCCTCAATTTTGGAAATCAAACAATTGGAAGCCTTGCAATAGGTAGTTTGACTTTTATAAGATCAACTGGATGCTTTTAGAATAAAAATTTTTTTTTATTTACTTTATTTGATAACCCAAATAAATGTTCATGAAATAGATGTGTTCTATATAGCAGTAGGTCATAGAGACATTGATCAGAGTGCAGGAAATAGGAAAAGATAGAGCATGGAACTGCATATTTATATATCCAAGGTAAATGAGAACATGATTATAAGTAATATCATTTTAGGATTTACAATTCTTTTAGATTTAATATTGTATGACTAACTGTATTTTATTTTTGACAGATAATAAGTCAATTACATCTCTTTTATTATCCTGGGAGGCCTCTGACTTTGGGATATAAAAAAAATAGAGGAAGTATTTTTTTTAAATAACCCTGGTAAGTAGATACAAACCCTCTAACAATTTAGCTTCTCATATTTTCTATTTCCTGTCTGAGACAGAGAGAAGCAACTGTGCTGCATTATCAAAAAATTAAATGAAAAATTAAAACATCAGAGAGTGTAAATGTCTGCTTCCAGTGACACAACGCTTAGTCAATATCATTTGGCTTTGCTTAGGGAGCTTATGTTTTCCTGCACATTGTAATCATCTCCGCATTAAATTACATTTGAAATAGAAAGAGAACATATGAAGAAAATGCTTAAGAAAATGAGCTATGCATCTTGACATCTCTTTCTCAAGTTCTATTCAATTTGATCATTCATAAAATATATGCTATGCATTTTTATTCTTTGTCAACACCCACTCTCCACCTCCACCCCTACATCCACATCCAATTAATATTTTACTGTAATTCATAAAGAAAAAGCAGTGTTATGATTGATGAGAGTAAAAAGATTTTTAGTTACATTTAAAATAACACATAAATGCAAAAAGTAAATGAATGATTACTAAAATAAATGTATAATTTCCACAGGGAAATACATTAAAAAAAAAGTAGAGTTGTCAAGGTAAAACTTGAGTAAGAATTTTTAAACCAAAGGGGTACCTGAACAACATTCAGAAATATTGAAACAAAAGTTTCAATCTCCATCTGAATTTTGATTACTAGTGGAACAACCAACTAATCCCCAAAAAGAGAAGAAGAATTGCTGAGGATTTGGAAGTGGATTGGATCTCTCTCATCTAGCTATGTGTGTTACATCTCCTATTCCACAATGTTTTCATACAAAGGAGTTGGAGAAATATTTTATTACTTTGCACCCAGAGTCAACCTTTCTTATATGAGTAAGAACCAGCTTCATCCAAATAGTGAACATGATTTCCAATGTGATGTTCACTACTCTTTAGTAAAATGTACCCACATACATAAGCACCTCCCTTGAATTCCTGTTGAATCACTAAATCCTGAGATCAAGAAGTAAAAATTTCTTTTTTTTCTCTTAGTTTAGGAAGTTTTTCTGGGCAACTACCCGGCCCTACAGATGACTACTGATTAACCAATGCTACTTATAAAATAAAAAATTAAGAGGCATTATAATTATTCATCTGTATGTTCAAAGAGAGGAAATGAAGTCTGTTTAATTCTACTCCAGCTGAACAAGAAGCTTTATTATGGCATTTCCTCCCTCCTTCTACTTTTCCCTACCTTCCTCCCTCCATTCCTTCCTTCTTTCTTTTCCTCCCTCCCCCCTTATTTTCATACCTATTTGAGTGCCTCCTTCATATCAGGCACTGTGACAGGAGAAGAAAAAACAAACAATGTAGGGCCAAAATAGGTAAAGTTCGTTTCATGTGGCTGACCATCTTCTTAGGAGAAATGACATTAATAAAATTACCAATTAATTATTAATCATTACTAATAAATATATAATTAGAACTGTAAAAATTGCAATGAAGTGGAGGAAAATGGTACTATGGCAACATAAAATAGAGATTTTACCTAGTCAAAAGCCAAAGGAAAGTTTTCACAATGGACTCTCACTTAAGAGCTAAAGGAGTAGTATGAGATAACTGAGTAAACAGGGAAAAACTATTGCAGTGGAATGCAAAATCAGTGAAAGAGAGAGCCTGACTAGAAGACCAAGGTAAAATAAACTGCTAAATATGATACCTAACTTATTGGAGAATATCTGGTAGAATATATACAGAGGGAGAAATATATTAAAGTCAAAACTGAATAGAAAACAGATGTGAAACACAATGATTTAAAAATCAATTTAAAAAATCAATCTTAGCAATTATTTGTGCAATAATTTAACATTTGGATTTCATTGCTTTTGAATCATTTTGGTGATTATGCATGATTATTCAATAAGTACTGTCTAGACAGTGTGAACCATTTGCTTAATATTAAAAGTTAAATAGATATTCCTCACTTATCAACTAAATGTTTCATTTCCATACACACACATTCACACACACACACAAACACACACACACACAGATGTAAATATGTCAATATAGGAGATAAACAGTAGATTTTAATATTTCCCCATGGTACTATTTGTTAATTAATTATCTATCCAACATTCTTTGCTCTTATACTATTTCTACTGAAACTTTGGATAAGTAAACAAAACGTGTATTGTTAGCTTAAACTTTTCATGGTTGGCATGAAAAAATGCAGTTGTTTATAGGTTTTGAATAAAAAGTTAATTAATTGGAGTTAAAATATTTGATAGACTTCAAATGTACAATTCCCTGTACAATTCAAAAACTTAAATAAAAATTTATAATTTGATTTTTAATCTCACTCTCCAACTGTCCTATTGAGAGTTTGGAAAAGCATGTGCTACAAAAGCTAGAAAAGCCTCTGAGGACACTACCAATACTCCCTCTACAGGCCGATATGAAAAAGGACTGGAGAGTGGGATAGTCATCAGTATGCACTACACTCTAGCTGGTTCTTTTCTTTGCATCCTCCTGGGCTTGGTAGTCATAACTCAAAGTTTTCATGTTATACAGCAACCTGAATATGAAAGAAATGTTCTTCTAAAGGTTTATAAGAATATTAACAATGACTAAAATCAGTCACACATATCCACAAAAATTTCTTTATACTGGGATGTCATAATGCTCAAGTCCATTTTTAGATTTGATTTATAAACACAGAAGTATATTTTACATCTATTTCATTGATTTATTCCTTTTGAAAACTCCATGTTAAGATTGTAGGTGGTTTCATATGGAAGCCCCACTGGATGGGTGTTAATCCCATTTTGATCTCGGATTTCTCATACTATAATGGAAATGGTATGTTAATCAAAGAAAACCAAAGTAATCTTTTAATCCTGAGCATAATAACTAAAAGTATCCTTCTCCTTGAAACACTGTTGTATTAGTCTGTTCTCACACTGCTGATAAAGACATACCCGAGACTGGGCAACTTTCAAAAGGAAGAGGTTTAATAGACTTATAGTTCCACGTGGCTGGGGAGGCCTCACAATCATGGTGAAAGACAAGGAGGAACAAGTCATGTCTTACATGGATGGCAGCAGGCAAAGAGGAAAGCTTATGCAGGGAACCTCCCTTTTTTTGAAACCATCAGATCTCATGAGACTTATTCTCTATCACAAGAACAGCATGGGAAAAATCCACTCCCATGATTCAACTACCTCCCACTGGGTTCCTCACTTTACACGTGGGAATTGTGGAAGTTACAATTCAAGATGAGATTTGGGACACAGCCAAACCATATCATTGTTCACTGAAATATCATTATACAGCATATGACTGCATATAGATCCTTTTTTGAAGTTTACATTGGATAACAGATTAGGAAAACAATACTAGCATATCAAAAAAAATACCCGCAGTTTAATTTCAAAAAGCTATTTAAACACACATGGCAATATAGATATACTTTGTTTTGGAATGTTTAATGATTCAGACAAAAGGAACATGTTCTTACCTAAACTCTCAAGTTAGAGAGATCTAGAGAACTAAAAGGTAAATTCTAGAAGTATTTAATACTTCTAGCAGTTTTTATTTTATTGTACCAAATTTAAAAATATGTCTTTTTTTTTTCTTTGTTAGATGTCAAGCTCCTTGAGCACAAGGACCATACTATATTAGCCTTTGAACTTAGAGGTTCTTGGCAGTAAATTAGTTAATATCAAATTTTAACTCCACAACTTACCCCTACCTCATAAAGGATGATTGGTGCATTACTCTTTACTTTTAAAATTGTGTTTATTTTTAATTTTTGTCGGCACAAAGTAGGTAAATATATGTATAGGGTATATGAGATACTTTGATACAGGCATGCAATGCGTAATAATCACCTCACAGTAAATGGGATCTTCATCCCTCGAGCGTTTATCCTTTATAGTATAAACAATGTAATTATACATTTTTACTAATTTTTAAATGTAAAAATAAATTATTACTGACTGTAGTCCTCTTGTTGTGATATCAAATAGTAGGTCTTATTCACTCTTTCTAACTACTGTTTGCACCCATTAACCATTCCCTCTTTACCCCCACTCACCCACAACCATTCCCAATCTCTGGTAACCATTCATCTACTCTCTATCTTCATGAGTTCAAATGTTTTAAGTTTTAGCTCCCACAAATAAGTGAGAACATGCAAAGTTTGTCTTTCTGTGTCTGGCTTACTTCACTTAACAAAATGACCTCAAGTTTCATCTATGTTTTTGCAAATGACAGGATATCATTTTTAATGGTTGAATAGTACTCCATTGTGTGGTGCCTGAGAGAGTTCCATAATAGAATAAAAATGATTTACATAGAATCTTGCTACCTGGGAATATAAGGAGGAGTTACTGATAAGCAGGGGGCCTCTCTCCTAGGACTAATTCTAATTCTGTGAGGAGCTGCTAGTTTCTAAAATGTCTGATAGCTCTCACGAACTGCTTGGCTTGTGAATGCCATTTCCAACGTAAACAAACATTTTGTTTAAAAGCCACTGCTCTATTTAAAGAAGCGTCAGGAAAATCTTTACTTTTAAGTTATTTGGGTAAAGTATTTTTTTTTGTAACGAATTACTTTTCTCTCTGAGTTCTCCAAATTTCAGATCGTGACTTTATGACAATATAGGTATTTGCATAAGTTCAATAAGAGTCTTTTAAAACAGAACAATTGAAAACACTGGTTATTTTACCAAGGCTTTAACTAAAATAGCATATTTTTAGGTAAAGTTCCATCACAGCCAACTTAAAACGAGCCTATATGGCCAATCAATTCTTGCTGCATTTTATGCAAATAATCAGGCCAAGCATAATAAGCCTATAACATAGAAATGGGTCTTAATATAATTTCCCTTTAGTAGAAAAGAAAGGGGCTAAATAAATTGTTTCATAAGGAAAAGTGTAACCGTTGGTACAAGATTTCGACACTAACTTTGTTTCTTTATGTGCAGATTATATCATGAATTATTTCTTGGCTACAATAATCCTTTAGAGTGTACCAGATTATAATTTTTCTTCATATTTTTAGTTGGCACCCTATTGAAATAGGTTCCTTTGTCTGTTCTAACACAAAAGTTAGTCTTATAATTGTCGAAGTATAAATGTTATTCATCTCTCTTTGTTTTACTTCCAAGGAAATCAAAATCACGGTATTCTGAAGACCAGATTTTATTCTCCCTCATTTGCCATCCCACTGGACGCAGATCTGTTTCCCTGTGAATATTCTGCTGCTAAAACTATACACACAGCCTCTCTCTAGGCCCGGGGACTGTCGTAGAAGAGGCAGGCACATGAGATTGTAAGGGCTGGTTTTGAGGTATAAAATTAGGTCATGGTCAAACCCTCCAAATCAAGAAGGGGTACAAAGATGCCTAAGCTGCCTGTAAAACAAATTTAGTTGCCTTTTAAACTATTATGTGTCACTTTTGCATCCACTCCAACCATAAAGAATTTTCTGCTTAGTATAGAATTAAAGGAAAATATTTACTAACAGGATAAAATACCTTGTAACAAAACCCACTGGGTATAAAACTCCTAGTTATAAGTTGTAAAGATAAATCTATCTATCTACATATTAGTTATTTTTCAGAACAATGCTTATGTTTTGCATAGCAAATTGCTTTAAGTCTGTAACTAAAACAAAGTTTACACATAGCTCAACACATAGAGGTTAAAAATAAGTCAGTCTGGTAATGTTGCCTTTCGGTTTTGTTTGCTGAGTTTTTTTCTTAAAATAATTTTAGGAGGTAATGAATGCCTGTCCACAACCTTTTATATCTGGCCTAGAACAATTAATTGATTATAAGTCTTTGACTCTTAAGGCCCTCAGCCATAGGGAGTCCTACCAAGGGACAGGATGGATGCAGGGCAGGCAGCCACGCCACCCAGGCAACACTATGGAACAAAATAAAGATTTGCTGGCCTTTGATGTTTCTCTGGCAAATCTTGGCCAGAGGGGGAAAATGTAAACCAAAAATAAAATTTTAAGGCCTCCCCAAACATTTGAATAAACTTCCTCCTGGGCCGGGGCTCTTAAATTTTAACCTGAAAGACTGTTTCAGGCCATGAAGGGAAGTGGGGGTCAGACATGCCTCATTATACCTCTCTGCCATTATACCTCTCTGCCATTAACATCAACAGCTCTGATAAAAAACCTTTTACTAGCTATTCTTTCTGAAGCCTGCTACCTGGAGGCTTCACTTGCATGATAAAACTTTGGACTTCACAACCTCTTATTACAACACTGGCATTCCTCTCTATTTATCCCAGGTCTTTAGACAAACTCAACCAATTATCAACCAGAAAATATTTAAATTTACCTATAGCCTAGAGGCCCCCACTTCGAATTGTCCCACCTTTCTGGAGCAAACAAATGTATTTCTCAAATATATTCGATTGATGTCTCATGCCTCCCTAAAATGTATAAAATCAAGTTGCACCCCAATGAGCTTGGGTACATGTTCTCAGGACCTCCTGAGGGCTGTCTCATGGGTCATGGTTACTTACATTTGGCTCAGAATAAATGTCTTCAAATATTAAAAAAAATAGTACTCCATTGTGTGTATGTACTGCATTTTCTTTATACATTCAGCTGTCGATGGGCTCATCAGTTGTTTCCAAATCTTAGCTATTGTGAACAGTGCTGCAACAAACATGGGAGTGCAGATATCCTTTTGATATACTGATTTCCCTTTTTTGGGGTATACACCCAGCAGTGAGATTCCCAGATCATACAGTAGTTGTGTTTTTTAGTTTATTGAGGAACCTCCAAACTGTTCTCCATATAGTTAGTACTAATTTACATGCCTAACAATAATGTCTGAGAGTTCCCTTTTCTCCACATACTCGCCAGCACTTGTTAATGCCTATTAGATAAAAGCTATTTTAACTGGGGTGAGATGATACCTCATTGTAGTTTTGATTTGCATTTCTCTGATGATCAATGATGTTGAGCACCTTTTCTTATGCCTGTTTGCCACTTGTATGTCTTCTTCTGACAAATGTCTATTCCAATCTTTTGCCCATTTTTAATTGAATTGTTAGATTTTTGTTCCATAGAATTGCTTGAGATCCTTATATATTCTGGTTATTAATTCCTTGACAGATGGTGATATGATGTGGCTCTGCATCCCCACCCAAATCTCATCTTGAATTGTAATCCTCAAGTGTTAAGGGAGGGACCTGGTAGGAGCTGATTGGATCATGGGGGTGGTTTACCCCATGCCGTTCTCGTGATAGTGAGGGAGTTCTCACAAGATCTTATGGTTTAAAAGTGTCAGTTTCCCCTGCACTCTCTCTCCTGCCATCATGTGAGACATGCCTTACTTCCTCTTTGCCTTCCATCATGATTATAAGTTTCCTGAGGCCTCTCCAGACACGCTGAACTGTAAGTCAATTAAACATCTTTTGTTTATGAATTACCCAGTCTCAGGTAGTATCTTTATAGCCCTGTGAAAACAGACTAATACAGATGAGTAGTTTGGAAATATTTTCTCCTATTCAATAGGCTGCCTCTTCACTTTGTTGATTGATTCCTTTGCTGTACAGAAGCTTTTTAAATTGAAGTGATCCCATTTATCCATTTTTGCTTGATTGTCTCTGCCTCTGGGGTATTACTCAAGAAATTTTTGCCCAGACTAATGTCCTAGAGAGGTTTAACAATTTTTAATAGCAATTTTATAGTTTTACATCTTAGATTTAAATCATTAATATATATTTATTTGATTTTTGTATGTGTTGAGAAAGAGGCTCTACTTTTGTGTGTGTGTGTGTGTGTGTGTGTGTGTGCGCACATAAGAATATCCAGTTTTCCCCGTAACTTTTATCAAAGAGACTATGTTTTCCTCAGTGTATGTTCTTGGTACCTTTGTGGAAAGTGAGTTCACTATAGATATGTGGATTTGTTTCTGTGTTATTTATTCTCTTCTATTGGTCAATAATATGGTTTGGCTGTGTCCCCACCCGAATCTCATCTTGAATTGTACTCCCATAATTCCCACATATCATGGGAGGGACCCAGTGGGAGATAATTGAATCATGGGGGCAGATTCCCCCATACTTTTCTCGTGGTAGTGAAAAAGTCTCACAAAATCTGATGGTTTTATTAGGGGTTTCTGTTTTTGCATCTTCCTCATTCTCTCTTTGCCTGCAGCCATTCATGTAAGACAGGACTTGCTCCTCCTTGCCTTCTGCAATCATTATGAGGCTTCCTCAGCCACATGGAACTGTAAGTTCAATTAAACCTCTTTTGTAAATTGCCCAGTCTCAGGTATGTCTTGATCAGCAGCATGATAGCAAATGGATACAGGTAACAGTAGAGGGGGGCGTTGCTGAAAAGATACCTGAAAATGTGGAAGTGACTTTGGAACTGAGTAGCAGGCAGAGGTTCGAACAGTTTGGAGGGCTCAGAAGAAGAAAGAAAAAGGTGGAAAAGTTTGGAACTTCCTAGAGACTTGTTGAATGGCTTTGCCGGAAATGCTTATAGTGATATGGACAATAAGGTTCAGGCTGAGATGGTCTCAGATGAAGATGAGGAACTTGTTGGGAAGTGGAGCAAAAGTGACTTGTTATGTCTTAGCAAAGAGACTGGCAATATTTTGCCCGTGCCCTAGAGATTTGTGAAACTTTGAACTTGAAAGAAATGATTTAAGGCATCAAGTGGGTGAAATTTCTAAGCAACAAAGCATTCAAGTGGTGACTTGGGTGCTATTAAAAGCATTCAGTTTTAAAAGGGAAACAGAGCATAAAAGTATGAAAAATTTGCAGTCTGATAATGCAATGGAAAAGAAAATCCCATTTTCGAAGGAGAGTTTCAAGCTGGCTACAGAAATTTGCATAAGTAACGAGAAGGCAAATGTTAATCCCCAAGACAATGGAGATACATCAGAGGGATATGTCAGAGGTGTTCATGGCAGCCCTTTCCATCACAGGCCTGGAGGTCTAGGAGCAAAAGTGGTTTCGTGGGCCAGGCCCAGGTTCCCCAAGCTGTGTGCAGCTTAGGGACTTGGTGCCCTGTGTCCTAGCTGCTCCAGCCATGGCTGAAAGGGGCCAACATAGAGTTTGGGCCATGGCTTCAGATGGTGCAAGCCCCAAGCTTGAGCCTGTGGGTGCACAGAAGTCAAGAATTGAGGTTTGGGAACCTCCACCTAGATTTCAGAAGATGTATGGAAATGCTTGGATGCCCAGACAGAAGTTTGCTGCAAGGGCGGACCTCTCCTGGAGAACCTCTGCTAGGGCAGTGCGGAAAAGAAATGTGTGGTTGGAGCCCCCACACAGAGTCCCCACGGGGCACCACCTAGTGGAGCTGTGAGAAGAGTGCCACCGTCCTCCAGACCCCAGAATATTAGATCCACTGACAGCCTGGAAAAGCTGCAGACACTCAATGCCAGCCCATGAAAGCAGCCAGGAAAGAAGCTGTGCCTTGCAAAGCCACAGGGGCCGAGCTGCCCAAGACCATGGGAACCCACTTCTTGCATTAGCATGACCTGGATGTGAGACATGGAGTCAAAGGAGATCATTTTAGAGCTTTAAGATTTAACTTCCCCACTACATTTAGGACTTGCATGGGCCCTTTAGCCCCCTTATTTTGGCCAATTTCTCCCATTTGGAATAGTTGTATTTACCCAGTGTCTGCACCCCCATTGTATCTAGGAAGTAACTAACCTGCTTTTGGTTTTACGGGCTCATAGGCGGAAGAGACTTACTTTTTCTTAGATGAGACTTTGGACTGTGGACTTTTGAGTTAATGCTGAAATGAGTTAGGATTTGGGGGACTGTTGGGAAGGCACAGTTGGTTTTGAAATGTGAAGATGTGGGATTTGGGAGGGGGGAGGGGTGGAATGATATGGTTTGGTTGTGTCCCCATCCAAATCTCATCCTGAATTATATTCCCATAATTGCCACATGTTGTGGGAGGGACCCATTGAGAGATAACTGAATCATGGGGGCAGTTTCCCCCATACTGTTCTCATGGTATGAGATCACAAGATCTGATGGCTTTACCAGGGATTTCCACTTTTGCATCTTCCTCCTCTCTTTGCCTGCTGCCATCCATGTAAGATAAGACTTGCTCCTCCTTGCCTTCTGCCATGATTGTGAGGCTTCCCCAGCCACATGGAACTGTGAGTCCAATTAAATCTCTTTCTTTTGTAAATTGCCTAGTCTCGGGTATGTCTTTATCAGCCATTTAAAAACAGACTAATGAAATCAGTGTGTCTGTTTTTATGCCAGTACTATGCTCTTGTTGTTACTATAGCTCTGTATAACTACTTTTAACTATAACTACTATAGTTAGAAGTCAGGTAATGTGATTCCTCCAATTTTGGGGTTATTTGTGCTCAGAATAGCTTTGACTATTCTGTGTCTTTTGGGGTTCCGTATACATTTTAGGATAGTTGATTCTATCTCTGTGAAGAATGTCATAGGTATTTTGATTGGGATTGCATTAAATCTGCAGGTTGCTTAGGGTAGTATGGACATTTTAACATTATTGATTCTTCCAATCTATAAACATAAACTAACTTTACAGTTTTTTGCATCCTCTTGAATTTCTTCCATCAGTATTTTATAGTTTTCATTATAGAGATCTTTAACTTCTTTAAGTTAAATCCTAGATATTTAATTTGCTTTTTGGGTATTGTAATTAAAATTACATTTTAATTATTTTTCTTAATATTCACTGTTGACATATAGAAATGCTACTGATTTTCCTATGTTGATTTTATGTACAACTTTGCTGAATTCATTTATCAGTTCTAATAGTTTTCTGGCTGAATTTCTAGGTTTTACTGAATATAAGACCATATCATCTGCAAACAAGGATAATTTGACTTCTTTCTTAACAAGTTGGATGTGCTTTATATCTTTCTCTTGTCTAATTTATCTAGCTAGAATGTCCAGTATTATGTTGAATTACAGTGGTGACAGTGGGCATCCTTGTCCTGTTCCAATTCTTAGAGGAAAGGTTTTCCATTTTCCCCCATTCGTGATGATACTAGCTGTAGACCTGTCATATGGCTTTTATTATGTTGATGTATGTTCCTTCTGTACCTAGTTTTTTAGTGTTTTCATAATGAAGGGAGTTTCTCAATCTCCCAACCTCAAGTGATCTGCCCACCTCAGGCTCCCAAAGTGCTGGGATTACAGGCGAGAGCCACCGCGCCTGGCCCAGTGAAGGGATGTTGAATATTATTAAATGCTTTTCCAGCATCAATTGAAATAATCACATGGATTTTGTTCTTCATTCTGTGAATATGATGTATTACTTGATTATTTTGTGTATGTCAATCTCACCTTGCATTCCTGGGATAAATCCCACTTGATGGATGATCTTTGTAATGTCTCATAGAATTTGGTTTACTGGTATTTTGTTATTATTTTTTCATCAATATTCATCAGAGATATTGTCCTGTACTTTTATTTTTTCATGTGTCTTTGTCTGGTTTTGATACTGAGGTAATACTGGCTTTATAGAATGAGTTTGGAAGTATACTTTTCTCCTCTATTTTTGAAATAGTTTGAGTAAGATTGGTATTAGTTTTACTTTAAATGTTTGGTAGAATTCAGCAGTGAAACCATTGAATCTTGGGCTTTTCTTTACTGGGTGACTTTTAACACAATTTTGTTGTTGTCACTTGTTATTGGTCTCTTCAAGTTTAAATTTCTCTGTGGTCCAAACTTGGTAGGTTGTATATGTCTAGAAATTTGTCCATTTCCTCTAGATCATCCAACTTATTGGTATATAGTTGCTCATAGTAACCACTAATTATACTTTTAATTTCTGTGGTATTGGCTGTAATCTCTCCTTTTTTACTGTTGATCTTATTTGGATTTTCTATCATTTTCTCTTAGTTATTGTGGCTAAAGTTTTGTCAATTTCATTTACCTTTTAGGAAAAATTTTTCTTTCTTTGATTTTTTGTATTGCTTTCTAGTTTTAATTTCATCTATTTTTGCTCTGATCTTTATTTTTTCTACTACTAACCATGAATTTAGTTTGCTCTTGCTCTTCTAGTTCTTTAAGATGCATCATTAGGTTATTTATTTGCAGTTTTACTTCTTTTTTTAATATGGGCACTTAAAATCATAAATTTATCTTGTAGTTCTGCTTTTGCTGTAATACATAAGTTTTGGTATGCTGTGTTTCCACTAGCATTTGTTTCAATAAATTTTTCTGTTTTCTTCTTAATTTCTTCTTTGAGTCACTTGCCATTCAGGAACATATTGTTTAATTATCATGTGTTTTTATAGTTTCCAAAATTACTCTTGTTATTGATTTCTAGTTTTATTCCATTGTTATCAGAAAAGATGTTTGCTTTTGTTTCAATTTTTTGAATTTTTTTTTTTTTTTTTTTTTTTTTTTTTGAGACGGAGTCTCGCTCTGTCGCCCAGGCTGGACTGGCGCAATCTCGGCTCACTGCAAGCTCCGCTTCCCGGGTTCACGCCATTCTCCTGCCTCAGCCTCCCGAGTAGCTGGGACTACAGGCGCCCGCCACCGCGCCCGGCTAATTTTTTGTATTTTTAGTAGAGACGGGGTTTCACCTTGTTAGCCAGGATGGTCTCGATCTCCTGACCTCATGATCCACCCGCCTCGGCCTCCCAAAGTGCTGGGATTACAGGCGTGAGCCACCGCGCCCGGCCAATTTTTTGAATGTTTTAAGACTTGTTTTGTGACATAACATATGGGCTATCTTTGAGAATAGTCCATATGCTGAAGAAAAAAACGAGTATTCCGTAGCTCTTCAATGACATGTTCTGTAATCATCTATTAAATCCATTTGGGCTATAGAGGACATTCAGTCTAATGTTTCTTTATTGATTTTCTGTCTGGAAGATCTGTCAAATGCTGAAAGTTGGGTGTTGAATTTTCTAGATATTATTTTATTTCGGTCTCTGTCTTTAGTTCTAACAATATTTGCTTTATATATCTGGGTGCTCCAGTGTTTGGTGCATATACTTTTACAATTTTGATGTCCTCTTGCTATGTTGACACCTTCATTACATAATGACTTTCTTTGTCTCTTTATACATTTTTGTCTTAAAGTTTATTTTTTTGTTTGTGTTATGAGTATAACTACACATGCTCTTTTATGGTTTCCATTGCCATTGAATATCTTTTTCATCTCTTTATTTTCAGTTTATATGTGTCTTTATTGGAGAAGTGTGTTTCCAGTAGGCAACAAATCACTGGATCTTGTATTTTTATCCATTTTATGTCTTTTTATTGGAGGGTTCAGTTAATTTACATTAAATATTATTGAGAAGTAAGAACTTCCTCCTGCCATTTAGTTATTTGTTTTCTGATGATTTTGTCACCTTCTCTTCCTTTTTCTCTTCCTCTCTGTCTTCCTTTTAGTGAAGGTAATTTTCTTTTGTGGTATGACAATTTAATTTCTTGCTTTTCATTTTTTTGAGTATTCATTTTTTTTTATTTGTGGTTACCATGAGTCTTGCAAATAATGTCTTATAACCTATTATTTTAAAGTGATGGCAACTCAACACTGATTGCATAAACATCTTAACAAACAAGCAAAATAAAAAACTTATAAAAACCTTACTCTTTAACTTCACCTACCCCCCATTTATAAGTTTTTGTTTTTTTCCATTTGTATCTTATTGTACTGTCTATGTCTTGAAAAGTTGTAGTATTATTTTTGACTGGTTATTCTGTTAGTCTTTCTACTTGAGATATGAATAGATTACACATCACAATTACAGTGTTATTATATTTGGTGATTTTCTATGTACTTACTATTTCCAATGAGTTTTATACCTTCAGATGATTTATTATTTCTGATTAATGTAATTCTATTTCAGACTGAAAAACTCTCTTTAGCATTTCCTGTAAGTCATATCTGGTGTTTATGAAATCCCTCAAAGTTTCTTTGTCTGGAAAGCCTTTTTTTCTCTTTCATGTTTGAAGAATATTTTTACCAGATATACTATTCCAGGGTAAAAGTTTGTTGTTTGTTTGTTTGTTTTTTCTTGCTTCAGCACTTTAAATATGTCATGCCAATCTCTCCTGGCCTATAGGGTGTCCACTGGAATGTCTGCTTGCAGACATAATGGAGCTCCATTGTATGTAATTTTTTTCTTTTCTCTTGCTGCTTTTAGAAACCTTTCTTTATCTTTGACTTTTGGGAATTTGATTATTAAATCCCTTGAGGTAGTGTTTTTGTGTTAAATCTGCTTGGTGTTCTGTAACCTTTTTGTATTTGGATACCAATATCTTTCTCTAGATTTGGGAAGATATCTGTTACCATCACTTTGAGTAAACTTTCAACCCCTATCTCTTTCTCTACCTCCTTTTTAAGGCCAATAACTCCTAGATTTGCCGTTTTGAGGCTATTTTCTAGATATTGTAGACATGCTTTATTGTTTTTTATTTTTGTTTTACCTCCTCTGACTTTATTTTCAAATAGCCTGTTTTCAATTTCACTAATTGTTCTTCTGCTTGATCAATTTTGCTATTAAGAGCCTCTGACACATTAGTCAGTATGTCAATTGCATTTTTCAATCTTAGAATTTCTGCTTGATGCTTTTTAATTATTTCAATTTCTTTGTTACATTTATCTGATATAACTAAATTTCTTCTTGGTATTATATTGGGTTTCCTTGAGTTTCCTCAAAACAGCTATTTTGAATTATCTGTTTGAAATTTCACATATCTCTGTTTATCCAGGGTTGGTCTCTGATGCCTTGTTTAGTTCCTTTGGTGAGGTCATGATGACTGTCTTGATGCTTGTGGATGTTCACCAGTGTCTGAGCATTGAAGAGTTTGGTATTTATCATAGGCTTCACAGTGTAGAGTTGTTTTTGTTTATCTCTTCTGAGAAGGCTTTCCAGATATTCAAAGGGACTTGGGCCTCAAGCTCAATAATTCAGTGGTTCTTGTAGACTCATAAAGGTACCACCTTGATGTTCTTGGATAAGATGCAGAAGAATTATCTGGATTATAGGGAGATACTCTTGTCCTCTTTCCTCACTTTCTCCCAAACAATCTCTTTGTGTGCTACGCTGCTTGGAGCTGGGTGTGGGTTACCATACACACCACTGTCACCACCGTGACTGGGATTGTGCTGCGTCAAACCTGAAGACAGCACAGCACTGGGTCTCACCCGAGGCCCACTGTTAGTACTACCTGGCTACTGACTATGTTCACTCAAGACCCTAAGTCTCTACAATCAGCAAATGGGGAAGCCAGCCAAATTTCTGTCCTTCCTTTCAGAATGGCAAGTCCCCCCAGGCCCCATGCAGGTCTAGAAATTTTGTCTGGGAGCCAGGGATTGGATTCAAAAACCTTAGAAATCTCCCTGGTGTTCTATTCCTTTGCAGTTATGCTGGCTCTCAAACCACAAGACAAAATCCTTCCTGCTCTTTTCTCCCCTTTTTCCAGGCACAGGAGCCTCTCCCAGTGGCCATCACCACCACCAGCACACGGGGAATTTGCCAGGCAACCACTACTGCTCACTTAACATTCCAAGGGCTCTTCAGTCAGCTTGTGGTGAATGCCGCCAGGCCTGGGATTCACTCTACAGTGAAATAATCACCCCTGAGTCCCAGGGAATGTCCAGAAATACTGCTCAGGAGCCTAGGCCTGGACTTGGAGACTGCAAAAGCCCACTTAGCATTCTACCCCACTGGGGCTGAGCTGGTAGGTACCTAAGGTGCAAGACAAAGTTCCCTTCACTTTTCTCTCTGATTTTCTCATGCAGAAGAAGTCTTTCACTATAACCAACATAGCCTGAAATGTGCTGGGTTTTACCTGAATCCAGCACATCTCGGCCTCACTAAAGACCCATGGCATACTACCTGGGTATCACTCTTGGTTATTCAGGCCCCAAGGGCTCTTCAATCAGCAGATGGTGAATTCTGCAAGGACCAGGTAATTTTCTTCAAGTCAGTGGGTTACCTTCTGGTCCCAGGTGTGTCTAGAAATGTCTTCTTGGAGGTAGGGCCTAGAATGGGGACCTCATGAATCTGCCCAGTACCAGTACCCTATCCTATTGTGTCTGTGATCCAAGATGCAAGACAAAGTCCTCTTTACCCTTTCCTCTCCTTTCCTCAAGCAGAAGGAAGAAGTCACTTTTGTTGGTGTAAGCTGTGCTGCCTGGGGTTGGGAAAGAGGTGTCACAAGCATTTCTTTAGCCTCTCTATACCTAGGTCATGTCCCATCATAGTCTGCTGACTCTAAATCCAGACCAGCACTAGGACATGCCTAGTAACTGCAGTCCTTGTGTCTTTGACTGCCTTTCAAGTTTACCTTGGACCCCAGAGCCCTTTATCCCACAGTGGCAAGGCTTGCTGAGAAATTCAAGTTTCTATCTCTGAGATAGATAATTCCCCTCTGGCAGGACTGATCCAAATGCTCCCTCCATGAGTGAGTGCTGGCTGAATCCAGCATGGCTTTGCTCTCTGCTGTGACAAGGCAGCACTGAGTTCAATGCCAATTCCTCCGGTCATTGTGTTCTCTCTCCCACAAGTGCACAGATTCTCTCTGCGTTCCATGTGGTCCTTGCTAAAGGATGGGGGAGGTGTAGCATCAGTGACCCAAGACTGTCTTTCCTACCCTCTTCAGAGTCTCTTTCAGCAATAGAAAGTTAAAACTGGGTACTCTGATTGCTCGCTTGATTTTTGCTTCTTATGATGATGCATTTCTGTGTAGTTGTTAAAATTTGGTGTTCATGAAAGAGTGGATGATAAGTGGAGGCTTCTATTCAGCCATCTTGCTCTGCCCCGTGCTTCTTTCTTTGACATTGTATTCTTCAGTTCTCACATTGCTATAAAGGAATGCCCGAGACTGGGTAATTTATAAAGAAAAGAGGTTTAATTGGCTCATGATTCCACAGTCTGTACAGGAAGTGTCACAGCATCTGCTCAGCTTCTGGGGAGGCCTCAGGAAACTTACAATCATGACAGAAGGCACATGGGGAGCCAGCACTTGACATGGCTAGAGTAGGAGGACGGCTGGGGAAAGTGCCACACACTTTTAAATAACCAGATCTCATGAGAACTTATTCACTATCACAAGAACAGCACCAAGGGAGAAATCTGTCCCCATAATTCAACACCTCCCACCAGCTTCAAACTCCTACATTGGGGATTACAATTCGACATGAGATTTAGGTGGCAACATAGATCCAAACCATATCAGACACAAAAGATCAACAGAAGTCAAGCTAACTCTTATTTTCTTCTTACTTATTATCTCTGAATTATAACTTCTCAAGAATAGAGAAAGGGCAAGGATTAATTACAAATTTTGGCTCAAACATCACATTATGATAGCTGAGCTGAGCATAAAGAAAGTAACTTAAAATATTATTTTTCAACTCCAGCTGGGAAGCAGTCTCATACAGAATAAGATTTTTCTATGATATCTGATATAATTTACCACTCTATTTTGTCTGAAAATGGTCTCTTGTTTTAGGCTTCCTTGATAACACACTGTTCTGGTTCTTTTCCTACATTTGACCATTTGTGGAAGGTTTCTTTCTTGACTGTTTGCCATATTTTTTTTCCGTTCAACGCAAGTGTTCTTTAGGGTTTTATCTTCAATTCCCGTCTCACTCAATATAATGTCCCCTGATAAATTCATTTACTATTAATGTTTCAACCACCAATATGCTGACATTCAGAAATCCTTAACCCTTTCTACCCCCAGATCTGTTTCCTAATATTCAGACAAAAAAGAAAAACCTGCAATTTGACATTTCATACTTGAATATACCACAGGCTTTTCAAGGTTAGTATGTCAAAAAGTAATCTCATCATCACAACATCCTCCCTAATAGGTCTTATGTTTTCCTGTCTCTCACATCCTCATTCATGTTTCTACTATCTTAGGTCAGAAACTTCAGAGTCATTCCAAATTTTTTTTACCTCAACCCCTGCTCAGACACCTGAGTCAACATCCTTCCCCTTGCTTATACCTTCTCTTTTTCACTCCCAATGCCTTAGGCCAGGCCTATATATTATTTTGCAGAGATGATTGCAATAATTTCCTAACTTGTCTTTTAGATTCAATTTTACACCTATCCAATCCAATCTTTATATCTTCTTAGAAGTAATCTATATACAATGTACATCTGACAATGTCATTTTCCACTTAAACCCTTTAATGACACCATTCATAAAGCTTCTTCTAATCTAACTCTAAGGTAAAAATAACCATCCTCTTCATTAAAATCGCTACTATATTTGTGCTCTTTTGATGTTTTTATTGTAAGCCTGTAATTATTTTTTGTTTCCACTTGTTTACATGAGTTGGGAACTTTTAACTCAGAGAGTGATTTTATGTTTTTGTGATTCCTCTGCATTGGAAATTGAAGTAATTAGATAATTCAAAGATTTTAGTGAGAAAATAAATTAATTCAATGAAAATAAACTAACATAAAACCCACAAGCAAGCCAGTTATTTTACACTAAATCAAGCATATTAAAATGACTAGTTTTTCTGTTTTTATACCCCTCCAAACATGATGCTGGTTACAGAGAACCTGAGAAAACATATTAGTAGAAAGTGAGGACAAAGAAGTTGAAGATAGTTTTAGAAAATGAGATATAAATAAATAAATAAGAATAAAATGAAATCAGAACATACTTAAGCCAGGCTCCCTTTACCAGCTTGATCAGATCCTCACAATCAAACAAATTGAGAGGATAACACTCATCTTTCAGGCATAAATTCCACTTTTATTTGAGTTATTCAAATGATCCAAGCTGAAACCTGTGTTTGGCTTAAACTGGTAATACAGTCAACCACTCCCCTTGATTTGAGAAAACACTAGGGAAGAGGGCTTAGCGAATTATAATCAATCATTCTTCTTTGTTCGCTTATGATAATTAGTGATTTTCTTAGAAATGTATTTAAATGTATTTTAAATGTAAACAATAACATGCTCTCAGATTAACTCAAATGAAATATTAGATTCCCACTGTAATGCCAAACTGTTTCCTTCTAGCTTTCTAAGGCAAACATGAGCTTAGCCAATATGTTGTCACTTAAAATAATTTATTAAACTAGGCCAGGCGCGGTATGGCTCACACCTGTAATCCCAGCACTTTAGGAGGCCGAGGCGGGTGGATCACAAGGTCAGGAGATCGAGACCATCCTGGCTAACACGGTGAAACCCCGTCTCTATTAAAAATACAAAAAATTAGCAGGGCATGGTGGCACATACCTGTAGTCCCAGCTACTCGGGAGGCTGAGGCAGGAGAATCTCTTGAACCCAGAAGGCGGAGGTTGCAGTGAGCTGAGATCGCACCATTGCACTCTAGCCTGGGCGACAGAGTGAGACTCTGTCTCAAAAAATAATAATAATAATAATTTATTAAACTAAGATATTTTGAAGGCTCTAAGATGCTCGATTAATTCTAATTATATTAGTGTGTTATGTCCAAATTATAACTTTTTTAAGAGACATGTTCTTTCTCATTCAGGCTGGAGTGCAGTGGTACAAACATAGTTCACTGTAATCCCAAACTTCTGGGCTCAAGCCACCATGCCTGGCTAATTTTTTAAAGACAGGGTCTCACTATGTTGCTCAAGTTTGTCTTGAACTCCTAACCTCAAGTGATCTTTCCACCTCCAGCTCCCAAAACCTGGGATTACAGGTGTGGGCTGCTGCACCCAGCCCCCAAATTATAATTATTAGAACAGTGTCAATATCCCAGAATGTTTTCTTTTTTAACTTTTATTTTAGGTTCAGTGGTGCATGTGCAGGTTTGTTACACAGGTAAACTGCATGTCATGAGGGTTTGTTGCACAAATTATTTTGTCACGCAGGTAACAAGCATAGGACCACATGGGTGTTTTTTCTGATCCCCTCCTTCCTCTCACTCTACACCCTCAAGGAGGCCCCAGTTTCTGTTGTTCCCCTCTTCGTGTCTGTATGTTCTCATTGTTTACCCCCCAGTTATAAGTGAGAACATGTGGTATTTGGTTTTCTGTAGCTGCATTAAAATAATAGTTTGCTTAAAATAATGGCCACCAGCTCTATCCATGTTGCTGCACAGGACATGATCTCATTCCTTTCAACGTCTGCATAATATTTCATTTATATATATATATATATATATATATGCATGTATATATATACATGCATATATATGCATGTATATATATACATGCATATATATGCATGTATATATATACATGTATATATATGCATGTATATATATGCATGTATATATATACACGCATATATATGTGTATATATATACGTGTATATATACATGTATATATATGTGTGTGTATATATATATATACATTTTCTTTAGTCTTCCATTGATAGGCATTAAGTCAATTCCATGTCTTTGCTATTATAAACAGGGCTGCAATGAACATATGCGTGCATGTGTCATTAAGGTAGGATGATTTATATTCCTTTGGGTATATAGCCAATAATGGGATTGCCGGGTCAAGTGGTAATTCTGTTTTAAGTTCTTTGAAAAATCGCCACTTTGCTTTCCACAGTGGCTGAACTAGTTTACACTCCCAGCAGCAGTGTATAAGTGTTCGCTTTTCAGTGCAACCTCGGCAGCATCTTGCTTGCACCTTGCCTGGGGCCTACTTGAGGATGGAGTATGGGAGGAGAGAGAGAATCAGAAAAAATACTTATCTGGTCCTATGCTTATTACCTGGGGGACAAAATGGTCTGTCCACCACACCCCCGTGGCGCATAGTTTACGTATGTAACAAACCCCCACACACACCCCTGAACCTAAAATAAAAGTTAAAAAATAAAACTTTCTGGACATATTGACATCTTTCTAGTAATTATAATTTGGGGGCTAGGTGTGGTAGCCCACACCTGTAGTCCCAGAACATTCACTGGCCAAGGTGGGAGGTTCACTTGAGGTCAGTTCTCTTTTGACCTCCTAGTAATAGCCATTCTGGCTGGTGTGAGATGGTATCTCATTGTGGTTTTGATTTGCATTTCTCTAATCATTAGTGATGTTAAGCATTTTTTTTTTCATATGCTTTTTGGCCCAGTATGTCATCTTTTGAAAACTGTCTGTTCTTGTCCTTTGCCCAGTTTTTAATGGGGCTGTTTGTTTTTTGCTTGTACATTTGTTTATAGAATGTTTTATTAAAAGGTCACTTTTATTTCTTGTATTTTATATTCTAGCTTGCTATTTTTTTTGTCTTTTGGGGACTTGTATGCATACAGTAGTAACTCCATGGCATTCTTTTTTAAGCCTAAGCTTTAGTGGATACTGAATAATGCTTAGGAAGGAATGAAAACTAGGATAAAGAAAGAAAAGACTGAAGAAAGACTTTTTTTAAAGTTTCCAATGGAATATGGCAATGGAGATGTCCAGTTGCAAGCTGAACATGCTTGGTTTGGAATTCTGTAGTGAGGTTATGACTATAGATAGAAACTTTGGAGTTACAGGCATAAAACTACAGATGTGAACATGCCTGATATTATCCAGAAAGAGCCTATGGAGTCTAAAAAGCAGGTGGTGAGGATAGGTTCCTGAATATCATGAACATTTTAGGATTATTCACACTGAAGAACCTGTAAAGGGAGTAAGAGGAAATAGCCATAATGATAGAGGAAAACAAGGAGAAAGGAGTATCATAGAAATTGAGGAAGGACAATCTCACGAAGACAGTGGGCCACAGTGCAAAATATCAAAGAGAGATGAAGTAAGATAGGGAAAGCAAAGTGACTGGAGCCTTTGGAAATACTGATCGCATTGATAAATTGGGAAGACAGGGTCTTCTATTTCAAGGGAATGGAAGGGGTCGTTGAGAAGCCAGATGATTGTAATTTGGGGACAATGGGCAGTAAATAAGCAGAGGCAGTAAATAACTACAGACTACTATTATGATGACTCTTAGCTATAAAGAAAATGGCATGATGACTAGAGAGACTTACGTTATTGACAAAGAATATAGAGATGTTATCTGATGGAACAAGTTTCTTAGGAGACAGAAGAAACAGAAGGGGAGAAATTTGTCATGTGGAGAAGAAGGGAGCCCTCTTCCATTGAGTTATGAGTGAGGAAGTAAAAGATATGTGGACATGAAGATACACAGTATGGGAAAAGTAAGGAAGTTGTACTAATTTCTCGACTTACGGCTTCCATTTTCTCAGTGAAGTGAGAGGCTAAGTCTGCTAACACCGAAAGAGAAAGTGGAATGTTAGGAGATTTGAGGTAAAAAAAATATAAGTCTGGAGTGGACATTGAAGAGCAACGTAAAGGAATCTGAGATCTTCTCTGTCTTCATGGTGACTAAAAATTATTGGACAATAATTAACACCCTACCACAATGTGGAAACTATAAATTTATTGTAACTTCATATAATGATTGTGCAACACTCTTTCAATATCCAGATCAAATGGTTCTTCCACAGTGAAAATTCCTGTGATCCAAAAAAGCACTGTTTAGCAGTCCTTATTTATGGCACCGCTATACCTATGATGTATCTCTATAATTGCACTTAGAATAATATATAATGAATATAAATTATTTGTGCTACATGCTGCCCTCCATCCATATATTGAGCTTCTTAAAGGCATGTCTGTATTTTGGGATATCTCAACAAATGTTTGTTGAATGAATAAGTAATCAATAATCCTCTTGAGATAGTGCATGTCCAAATGTGTATTTACAATGTTATTACTAATATATCTTTCTCAAAATACCTTCCCAGAAACTGCTCCAGCCCAGGTATCCTGACTATATAGCTTAGCTTTGTCAGAATGTGCTCAGTGCAATCAGAAGGAGAGTGAAATTTTGGTAGACAGCAAAGTAGATTAGTCTCAGATGTTCAAATTTCTGGTTTGGAAACTCAGAAAAGAACCATGTATTATAAACATGAGATTGTAGTACAAAGATAATTCTCTACATAATTTTTAAATGAAAACCTCTTTTTTCACATTTTATTTTAAGAAAATTAATTTTCTATTATACATCTTACTGGTCAATCTATTAAAACCCATAACCAAAAACAATAAACGATTACTTTTAAAAGAGACTTATCCTTGAATTTTTTTTTTTTAGAAAACATCACATTGTGATAGTTTCTCAAACAATCAATGAGCAAAGATAGTTCTTTCAGCCTCAAGGAAATGGACAGCAGCTCAATCCGTGTGATCTCACTCATTAGGCTGAATGTTAGCTGCCTTTGGAAAAAATATGCCAGGTTTGAATGATGTGGGGTATAATAAAGTTTTATCATGAAAATAATTTTAACCCAAATTAGGTCATTTATATATTTTAATAGCAGTTTAAATTTACTCATTCACATTGTGCAGATTATGGTCGCTCTTCTCTCACAATTATTTTGCAACCTTGTTTAGCATATGTGACTGATAGTGGGTGAATTGATTTTTCAAGGATAAGTTAGTAGGATCTTTCCGTAAAAATCCAGGTGATGATGGAAAAATTATTTTTAAAAAAGCACACAGATATTGTCCATGTTGACAGTTATATCTATTATTTTATGCTAACAGATTCTTTAGCAGCCTAGTGATTAAAAAGCTTGGTTTCTGTTAAAAAGTAGTTTCAAATTAATTATTTACTGTACTTACCAGTCCCTTTCAGCTGATGATATACTGCTAAATTAATATTTCACATAAATTCTGCACTGAAATTTATAAGAATAAGTCATTCATCCTGTATCAGATCTCATGGGTGTCTATTATTTTTAGGACACCTCTTACCTTATTATCTACCTACCTTTCATTATATGCATACTTTCTGGAAGTTCCACTTAGAATATGAATAATCTTCCATTTTCAAACATATAACAGAGAATATTGTTAGGGCTGTCTTATATGACAGGAAAGGAAAAACTTACATACTTTGACATTTAGCTTCCTGTAATATTGTACCCTATTAAAGAGCATTGAAATGCTATTTATGTTCTGAGTTTCAGCTATACTTTTGCTTATGAAGTTATCTTTCCCCAAACATTCCAGTTTGTTCTTCAATGGAAAAATGCAAAAAATGTGTTTGAAGATATGCATCATGTTACCTATTGAGAGGGTAAAAGAAAGCTTCAGTCAGAAACAAAAGAGGGTGGCTTATGGAAAGATTTTTTCCCTAAAATTATTGCATGTAATTAACTGTGAGCAAGCTTGAAGATTCATACATTACTAGTAGAACAAACAGGTTTTCCTTATTTTACCATCCATCATTCATTCATTCATGTAACAGGTATTTGTGAGCACCTACTGTGTGTCTGGCAATGTTACTGGCACTGCAGAAATATCAGTAAACAAATAGGCAAAAACCTTTGCCCTCATGGATCTTACATACTTGGGGAAGATGGAATGTAAACAAAATAAATAAGTAAATTATGAAGCATATTAGAAGGTAGTAAGCATTAAGAAACAAAAATAAGCAGACAAGAGGAGGTGAGGAAACATAATTTTATATAGTATCATCAGGGAAAAATTCACTGAGATGGTGCCATTTGAACAAAGATCAGGAAACAACGAAGTGAAAAATATGGTTATCTTGGGGAAGATAATTTCAAACAGAAGGAAAGGAGATGCAACAGCTCTAAGCTTGCCTCTTTCCAACAGCAAAGAGGACTACATTGATGAAGTGGAGTGAGCAAAAATGTTGGAGAAGCTGCAGTCAAAGGAGTAAGGGGTTCAGTTGTATAGAAGCTTGATTTGGCCCTTACCTTTACTGAGATGGAAGTCATTGGAGAATTCTTAGCAGAAGAACAACATGATCTGACATAGCACAAAGGATAAAAGTTAGATTTAGCAAATCTTACTAGCTAAGGAAGATTTCTCTTTGTTTGCCAGCTTCAGTGGGATCTCTACTTCTTTTCAGTAAAATTGGAATCTATGTTAACACCTCTGTTGGGATTACCACTATTTTTTCCTCCCACTGCTTCTTTGTAATTATATATTATACTGTAGATTAGCAGGGTAGACAAATTAACTACAAATGCCTAAGAACACACTGCTAAAATCATTAATTCACACTTCGAAATGATAAGCAAAATGAACATTATAATGTTCATTACTGTGTGGTCACATGCTTTTACAGAATGCAGCTATGTATAGAATAGAATTCAGTTTTTCTTCAAACTTTTGACTCTCCAGAAATGGAACATAAACAGTCAATTAACACAGTCGAAAAAGAGTAGATTTTATATACTAATTACATGCATTATATACTGTATTCTTACAATAAAGTAAGCTGGAGAAAAAAGGTTAGTAAGAGAATCATAAGGAAGAGAAAATGTATTTACTATTCATTAAGCAGAAGTGGATCATCATAAAGGTCTGCAACATAAATGTCTGCATACTCACCTTGAGTAGGCTGACGAGGAGGAAAAACAAGAAGGTCTGGTCTTGCTGTGTCAGGAGGGGCAGAGGTGGAAAGGTGGAAGAGGCAGAAGGGGAGGCAGGAGATGCAGGCACACTCTGTGTACATTTACAGAAATATGTCATAATTTCTTTCTGAATTTTTCACTTTTTCATTTCTCTAGGAGTTTTTCTATACAGTACCGATTCTTCTTCCATTATTTGCTTTAGTTTCACTGGCCATATCATAGAAAGGGCAATGTCATAAAAGAAGTCAAATGCAATCTTGAATCATTGGAACCTTTCTGCCAGATTGCCTTATGTCAATTTCTTTTCTGGCCCTGTTTCTATGTCTTCTTCTTCATTGTCTGGCACTGGTTTGGAAGCACTAATCTCCATCAAGTCATTTTCTTTTAATTTGTCTGGTGTGGGGTCTGTGAGCTCTAGAGTTTCTCCAAGCCCCATATCTTCAAAGCCTAAACCCCCCTAAACACATTTTTTTTAACATATTCACAATATCTTTCATGATTTCCCTGGTTAGCTCTGTTGTAAGTCCTGTAAAGTAATGCACGACATCTGAAAACAGTTTTCTCCAGCAGAAATTTATTGTTTTGGGCTTGATGGCTTTCATGTTTCTTTCTATAACAATAATGGCATCTTCAATGGTGTAATTCTTCCAGGCTCGCATGACGCTCTCTGTATCCAGGTTCTCTTTCATAGTGTTCACAATCCTTTCCATAGAGAATCACGTGTAATTAGCCTTAAAGGTTCCTATGAGCCCTGATCTAGAGGCTGAGCTTGACATATTGCATCTGGGGGAAGGAGACCACTTCAACACCTTTGGTGTTGAATTCACGGGGTTTCAAGTATTCGGGGACATTGTCCAATATCAAAAGAACTTTAAAAGGCAGTGTCTTACTGTAGAATACTTCCTGAGTTCAGAGACAAAGCATGGAAGGAATCAATTCAAAAACAGGGTTCTCATTGTCCAGGCCTTCCTACTGTACAACCCAAAAGACTGGCAGCTGGTGCTTATATTTTCTCTTTAAGGCTTAGAGGTCAGCAGCTTTATAGATAAAGGCAGTCCTGATCATAAACCTGACTGCATTTGCACAAAACAGTAGAGTTAGTCTATCCATTCCTGCCTTACATCCTGGTGCTTGATTCTCCTCTTTAGTAATAAATATCTTTGGTGGCATTTTTTCAAGAACAGGGCACTTTTCTGCATTATAAATCTGTTCAGTTAGTTATCTCTTCTCCTCACTGTTTTTTTTAATGGCATCTAGGAATTTGTCTGTTGCTTCTTGATTGGCAGAAGCTGCGTCTTCTGTTATTGTTACATATTTTCATCCATACTTCTTTCTAAATTTATCAAACCTTCCTTCGCTGGCATTAAATACTTCAGCTTCCGATTCTTCATTTTCCTTTTGCTTTAAATTGTCATATAATGACTTTGCTTTTTCTCAAATTATATTAAATTGTGTAGGTCTGCCTTTTTTAGTAACAATTCTGCACCCACATAAAAGCTGCATTTTCAGTGCAAGACAAAAAGATATTTCACAAAATGTGAAAGGTTTTCACATCTGCTGGGATACCAGTAACAATGGCTTCATGTGTTTCTTTTTCTTTTTTTACAGTGCTCCTTATGCTGGATCCATTTACCTTTAAATGGCAGGCAACTGCAGCTGCAGACCTCAATCTACGGTACATATCAAGCAAATCAACTTTTTCTTGTAATATAATAACTTTTTTCTGCTTCTTGGTAGCACTTCCAGCATCATCAGTGGCACATCATATGAATCCCATGTTGTTACTAAAACGGTGTTACACTAAACATGATGAAAATATGCAAGAACCATGAGAAATCCCTTTTTACTGTGACGCACAATTTACTAAGGAGACAAGCTGCTCATGTGGAGATGATCAGCAGCACAGGGCATTTTAAGTGAATGCTGACAACACGAGCTCACTGCAACAGCAACAGAAGGTGGCTATGAAATTGTAGTAGTGCACCACATACTACAGTTAATTTTATGGAGTTGTGATTTAATAACATATCTTTATGTTTGTCTACTTTCAACCGCAAATGACACTATGTAAGGTCTGTAAGTGGTTGTATGAATAAGTTTTGATGTATTTTAACTTTTTATAACAGATTTGTGTGTATTTTATGGTGATAAATAATAAAATAGACAAGTATCTAGGTATTTTATGCATTTGCAACATACATAACTTTTTGTTATTTTTTTCTATATGTCTAAGATATGTGGCTTGTCTGTGAGTTTTTTCAAATTGTTGCAAATCTCCAAAATATATTCCAACATATTTATTGAAAAAATCTGTATGTAAGTGGATCCGCACAGGTCAAAACCATATTGTTCAAAGGTCAACTGTATATCAGGGTTGATTTTACAAAAGTTAAGAAAGAAGAGAAAGATCTAGTAAAATAATTAAAAGAAGAAAAAGGAAGAGATCTGTGTTACAGACCAACGAAGTCCTAAATAGAAACATTTTAAGGGTTATTTTCCTGAGACATCACTTTTGCTATTCTAGCCTCTGGTGAACAAAATCCAGTGTGCCAAAACACTCGTGTTAAAGTAGATTACTCTATCATACATTTATTAGTTACTTTAATTTAAATCTTAAATAAAAGAGATATACATGCCGCTAATTAATTGATGGTGCAGATATCTCAAGACTCAATATAGAAGTCTGAACAATTATATTTGGCAATTAGTGCCAGGTAGACAGACATGGATAGGTAAACAGTTAAGTCTACCAAGTTAGCAGCTCCTTTCAACTTCCTTGCTCTTTCTAACGAAGTCACTTTCTTTAGCAATTTTGCTCACTACTCTTCTCAGGTTTCAATATGCATGGCTAAAAATTTACTATCAAAACTTCTTCATTGTACTACTAGGTTTCTGGTTTTTTTGAATTTTTAAGAGTAATTTTAAGAGTGTTCCCTTAAAATGAATCAATAATCATATAACACCAGAAAATCTGACAAGCTATGAGGAAGATTCTGTAGAAGATCCTTAACTATGCATCCAAATTCACATACAACCCAGTACATTGTGGTGGTGATGGGTATGATCTTAAGCTTTGAAGTCAGACAGATGTGGATTTGAATCCAGGCTCCAACAGTTACTTTGTGACCCTGGACATTTAACCTCTATTTTACACAACCATAAAACAGGGATGGCAATATATAGGGCCTATATATATTTTTGCAATTTGTATTAAGGGAAATGTATATAAAGTCTCAGGCAGGAAGAGTTAGTAATTATTATTAATGTTATGATTATTTCACCAGAAGATTAAATTCCACCAGCTTGTAATAGCATATATTGTCTTCTATTCAGGGCCCACTTAAAGTGCTTTGCGATCTTGAAGAGTTTCAAATAGTACCTGGAACATTATATGTGCTAAGTGCTAGTTAAGTGTCTGTTAAATAAATTAATTAAATAAGCTTCTTTTTAAAGAAAGGGTTTGGAGATTAAGGAGAATACCTAAACCAGTCCTTCTCTTCTATTATCACTGTAAAATACTTACCTAGTATTGTCAATGGGCTATGAAAAGGGGTCTGGCTCTTATCGCCTATTTTTTCTTTTTCTTTTTTTTTTTTTTTGAGACAGAGTTTGCCCTTGTTGCCCAGCCTGGAGTGCAATGGCGCGATCTCGGCTTGCCACAACCTCTGCCTCCTGAGTTCAAGTGATTCTTCTGCCTCAGCCTCCTGAGTAGCTGGGATTACAGGCATGCACCACCACGCCTAGCTTATTTCGTAATTATAGTAGAGATGGGGTTTCTCCATGTTGGTCAGGCTGCTTTTGAACTCCTGACCTCAGGTGATCCACCCGCCTTGGCCTCCCAAAGTGCTGGGATTACTTGCCTCAAACCTTTGGCCTGGGCTTCTTGATTATATACTTGATATGGTTTGGCTGTGTCCCCACCAAAATCTCATTCTGAATTGCAGTTCCCATAATCCCCACATGTCATAGGAGGGACCAGATGGAGATAATTGAGTCGTGGGATCGGTTTGCCCCATCCTGTTCTCATGGTAGTGAGTGAGTTTTCACAAGATCTGATGGTTTTATAAGGGGCTCACCCCTTTGCTGGACACTCATTTCTCTCTCCTGCCACCATGTGAAGAAGGATGTGTTTGCTTCCCTTTCCAGCATAATTGTAAGTTTCCTGAGGCCTCCCCAGCCTTGTGGAACGGTGAGTCAATTAAATCTCTTTCCTTTATAAATTACCCAGTCTCAGGCAGTTCTTTATAGCAGTGTGAGAACAGACTAATACAATACTACCACTGTGAAAACGCTCAGAGATGTTGCCATTTTAGAAACAAGAGTATAGAAGGCTAGAACAAGTTAAGAAACTGAGCTATTTGCAAACAAGGAATATGTTGTTTTCTTTTTTTATGCTTAAGACTGAGGCATTTCTTGATGAATGAATCAACACATCAGTGAATGAATACATGAATAAATAAAACAGAAAAGGGGCTTAATTTTGAGTAGATGAGAGTATCTTCAGAAAGTTTATGGATAACGGGACATTCCTTAAATTCTTATATGATGTACCATTCAAGAAGCTTCATTCTATTCCAGACCTTTCTGTTTTTAGCATATAGAATATAGTGCTAATATAACACTTACTTCTAAATCAAGAATGATCTTATTTAAAATGTCTATGATTTAATTAGGAAATATGCTAATGATGATTTCAAGGAATCTGCTACATCATCCCTTCATATTCACACTACTAAAGAGATATATAGTTTGTATTTGATCAGTAATACTAGGATACATTATAGAGTCTGTAGAGCTTCTTGCTGTATGGTGAAATTCTCAAAGTGTGAAGGTATATCTTATTTTTATTTACATCCTCAGTGCTGAAGAGTTTCCCTAACATATAGTTGTTCTTCAACAATATTTATTGGATAAAAAAAGAATATTAAGATTCAATAAGCTCTGGATAGCAAGGCAAAATTGCCTTAAGAATATCCAATACACTACAAACTGTAAAGTTGTTTTTCTTTTAAAATGCACTACATAAATATGTCATTCAAACATTTAAAAATATATAATTAAACACATTAACATATTGGCTTGTCATGTTACAAGATTATAATAGGTAATATGTATTTTTTAAATTCCCCTCTGTAAATATTGTTCCTTAAGACTGCTGCCACTCAAGGAAACATGCATCCTGAGAATAGTACTTTTTTTTGGTCAATCATCTTTTTCTCTGCTTTAAGATAAAGCCAGTAAATATTTTCCTGTTTTCTACAAGGAATAAGAATGAAAGATTCTATATTTAGGTAATTTCCCCTGTCTCCAATTGATCTTTATAATTCACATTTTACAAGTGCACCCCTCTTTTCATCAACATTTTGAAACATTTGAAACAGTTCTTTTTCCTTCCACCTAGAAATTAGTGGAGTACACAATCCTATTTTCTGATTCATAATATTATGACTTTCTTTGAAAAAGTCACCATTTTTTCTGAGTCAGCATTTCAAACAGGTGTACCCTTTTTTCTTTTTAAATAGTATTTGTCTTTTTAGTGCAAATTGTTTTAAATAGGGTTTTTTCTAATATTATAGTTCTTTCCTACTAGATAGAACCAGAAGTTATATCCCCACATCCTAAGGATGGGTTACTAATTTCAAATGCTTTGCTAAACAGAAAATTTTCACATTTAAGTTCCATGCTACCTGGTGGAAATGACAAGAAAGGTTATATTTTGAGCCTAATATTCAAATCAGTCACTCGGCTTTTCACATATCTCTTGCTAATGACGCTGTTTATTTTATTAGACAAATTATATAATGCCATAAAACAGGGGACCTTCTCCAGGTATTTTCTCCTATGGGAGACTAGCTGATAAAGTATGGTATAACCATAACATTGTGGTTTCTTCCAAGATAAGGATTTCCACAGTGTTTTTCACATAAAGAGTCCTAGAGCTAAGTTTCACTTAATAAAATAAGAGGCAACTTAAAATGATGGTTAAAAAAAAGATACTCATTACAACATGATGTAGTGATGTAGTGGTGGAAAATAAATAGAATGCAAAGAAATGAAAAATAGAAACTTATATATAAGCTTCTTAAAGTGTTGGGACTGGCCGGGCGCGGTGGCTCACGCCTGTAATCCCAGCACTTTGGGAGGCCGAGGCGGGCGGATCACGAGGTCAGGAGATCGAGACCATCCCGGCTAAAACGGTGAAACCCCGTCTCTACTAAAAATACAAAAAATTAGCCGGGGGTAGTGGCGGGCGCCTGTAGTCCCAGCTACTTGGGCGGCTGAGGCAGGAGAATGGCGTGAACCCGGGAGGCGGAGCTTGCAGTGAGCCGAGATCCTGCCACTGCACTCCAGCCTGGGCGACAGAGCGAGACTCCGTCTCAAAAAAAAAAAAAAAAAAAAGTGTTGGGACTTAGGCAATACCACACTTGGGCTCAGATATCTGTTGATTGATTAACTGGGTAATGGCGTGTTCTCCTGGACTTTGTAAAAACATTGTAAATATTGACATATATTTGAAAATACATTATAAGCTATATTAAATTTTAGAATATGTAAGGGGCAGCAGTAGTATCTGAAGTCAATATCTTTCACTTTTTATTTTTTTTTTCTGAAGGTTCATCCTATAGTTAATGCTTTGGTAAGTAAAGAGGATAGGGTACTGGGTCCTGCAACTTAGCTCTGAGTTCTCAGCTAAGGTAAGTAGTTAGTGCTTCATGCAAACAGTGGTATAGAATAACTTCACTCCAGTTACTTATTAGGGAGGATCGTCTTAAACTCTGCCTCTCAACATTATAAATATATATATGAAAAATGTATCCATTATTTAAGTAGCATTTTCTGAAGAATATGCTGCTCATCATTCCTCAAGTGCAGTCATTTCTGCTAAAATATTTTTTGAAAACATGAATTTGTTCCAACACGATTGATATATTAGGGAACAATTTGAACATAAAGAGGATTTCGCATTGTATTAAGCTCTGAAAATCTCTCGGTAAACACAGAAAACTGCACCCAGCATAATAATATAAAAAACATACACACACACACACACACACACACACACACACACAAAACAATTCACTGGAAACCTCAGTTTATTATGTATGTTATCCTACAAGTTTATGTCTTGCCATTCTTTTGTATTTGAGGATATTTTTATACTAAATAAAAAGTAAACATCCAAAATGTATAAATATTTTGGTTCAAAAATACCAAGTAGTGCATAAAAAGAAAAAATTTAAGTACTGAGGAAAAGCTTGAATAATGAAGTGCTTCACATTGAGAGAACATGATGTTTCCCAAGCAACAGACAGAAATCCACTCTGTGACCCCTTAGAGATAATAAGCAAGAAAAAACAAATGTATATGACTCTGTGATATAATAAAAATCTATTTGGTCTTTGTTTTTGGTTCCTGGAACAGGGCTCCTATAATCTATGAAATTTCCTGGGAAACTGGAGTGTCATTTTAAAACACCTAAGTTTATGCTAATGAATTGATTTAGTGTGGGGCTCCTAGGTAGCCTCAGGAGGGGGCAGGTCACCAGAAGGACCAAGTAATTTGAGGGGTGGAAATTCTACCCTAACCATTGGCCTCTGAGGAGATGAGCAGGAGACTGGTGATTTGACCCTATGAATCTTCTTGAACCATGTGATTCAGGGAGCTTCTTCTGGGTGGGTGAACACTTCATGGTGCTGTGAGGGTGGCGTGCCTGAACAGGGCATGGTAGTTGCACAGCATCCCCTCCTCAATACCTTGCCCTGTGCATCTCTTCTATTTCGCTGTTTCTGAGTTTTATCCTTTAAAATAAAATAGTAAACATAAGTAGTGTTTTTCTGACTTCTGTGAGTTGTTCTAGCAAATTGTCCAACCTGAGAAGGATGTCATAGGAACCCCTGAATTATAGCCAGTCAGTCAAAAGTACGGGTGGCCCCCAGGAGTTGCAGCTGGCATCTGAAATGAAAGCAGTTTGAGGAACCAAGCCCTTTAATCTGTGGGATATGATGCCAAATTCAGGTAGATAATATCAAAATTAAATTTGAGTTGTTGGGCATCCAGTTGGTGTGAGAGACTCAGAGAATTGGTTGTTGGTGTACAAAAACTTTACACAGGCAGGAACCACTTGAAGTACTGCTGCAAAGTCAGTAACAACAAGGCCACAATAAATTAAGGAAATGAAAAGATTGTTGAGCATATAAATTCTAGTCTCAACAGTGAAAAATATTGGGAACAATTGTCTCATAAAAATAAAAGACTGTCTATAGATAACATCCTTAAACAGAATAGGCTGGGTGTGGTGGCTCATGCCTGTAATCCCAGCACTCTGGGAGGCAGAGGCGGGTGGATCACCTGAGGTTGGGAGTTCAAGACCAGCCTGAACAACATGGAGAAACCCCATCTCTACTTAAAAAAAAATACCAAAAAAAAAAAAATTAACCAGGCAAGGTGGTGCATGCCTGTAATCCCAGCTACTGGGGAGGCTGAGGCAGGAGAATCACTTGAACCCAGGAGGCAGAGGTTGCGGTGAGCTGAGATCGCAGCATTGCACTACGGCCTGGGCAACAAGAGTGAGACTCCGTCTCAAAAAAAAAAAAAAAAAAGAAAAAGAAAAAAAAAAACAGAGTTTGCTAAATCCTGCAGAAGTGACTTCTTTTATCTCGGAAAATGAGTCCTAGGGGTGGCTATTTTAGTGTTGTCAAACATCTCTACAATTCTCAAAGCCTTCAGCTGTCTGGATAAGCTATGGGTGCACATGAGACATCCACAACATAATTCCCAGCAATGATTCACAATTTACTTGAAGAAGTCTATATGCCAAATCAGATTTACAATTTTTATGAAATACGTGTCTATTATAAATTTAAACCTTAAAAACCTACACCTGAAATGCAGAAAAACATGCCCAGGATTTAAGGCTGTGAAAGATTTTTAACTGCGGCATTTGGAAACAATGCCAAACCCAGGACAATGAGCCGTGCTGATATGATTTGCCTGTGTGCCCACACCAATCTCACCTTGAATTGTAATAATCCTCGCATGTCAAGGGTGGGGCCAGGTGGAGATAATTGAATCACGGGGGCAGTTTCCCCCATACTATTCTCAGGGTAGTGAGTAAGTTTCACAAGATCTGCTGGTTTTATAAATGAGAGTTCCCCTGAACAAACCCTCTGTTACCTGCCACCAAGTAATATGTATCTTGCCCCTCCTTGCCTTCCACCATGATTGTGAGGCCTCCTCAGCCATGTGGAACTGTGAGTTCATTAAACCTCTTTTCTTTATAATTACCCAGTCTCAGGTATGCCTTTATAGGCAGCCTGAGAACAGACTAATACACACACCTATCCACATCTCCTGCTACAACTTTGCATTTGCTTTCAGATAATCACCCCACACAACCTCACAATAACTCACAAGCTGCAATCCTTCTGAAACCTACTTCCACAAGGTAAAGTGCCATATTATAGCATTTATGTGAAATTGTGCTACCACGTATATTAGATTTCTATTATTTATTTTTTATGTGTCACTGAAAAAGTGTTTGAATATTGTGCCCAAACCTCATTTTTCTCATGAGCCCTCAGGTTTTTCTTATACAATTTTGGAAAAAAAAATATGGTGTTTTTTAGAATACTATAAGTTGTGTTATAGAAGAACTAACTAAACATTAAAATCTATCATAAGGGGAAGCCAGTCAATGAGAGAGCTGTATGATGGGGCCAAATCATTTTTATTTCCCCAAAATTGCTTTCCCTATACTGGCCATGGCATTAGGAAATCAACCTACAGTGAAGGACATTATAAGAAACTATCCTCTGAAATTCATTATTCTATTCACTGTAAGAATGTTGTTGAATATGATGCTTACCACATTACACAAATCAAATTTTCAATTTTGATGAAATGGGTGTCTATTATAAATTTAAACCTTAAAAACCTACACCCAAAATGCAGAAAAACATGCCCAGGATTTAGGGTGGTGAAATATTCTTCTTTTTTTTTTTGAACTAGAAATACCATTTGACCCAGCCATCGCATTACTGGGTATATACCCAAAGGATTATAAATCATGCTGCTATAAAGACACATGCACATATATGTTTATTGCAGCACTATTCACAATAGCAAAGACTTGAAACCAACCCAAATGTCCAACAATGATAGGCTGGATTAAGAAAATGTGGCACATATACACCATGGAATACTATGCAGCCACAAAAAAAGATGAGCTCATGTCCTTTGCAGGGACATGGATGAAGCTGGAAACCATCATTCTCAGCAAACTATCGCAAGGACAAAAATCAAACACCACATGTTCTCACTCATAGGTGGGAATTGAACAATGACAACACTTGACCACAGGAAAGGAAACATCACACACTGGGGCCTGTTGTGGGGTGGGGGGAGCGGGGAGGGATAGCATAGGAGATATACCTAATGTAAATGACGAGTTAATGGGTGCAGCATACCAACATGACACATGTATACTAACTAACTAACCTGTACGTTGTGCTATGTAACTAACCTGCACGTTGTGCACATGTACCCTAGAACTTAAAGTATAATAATAAAAAAAAAGATTCTTAACTGTGACATTTGGAAACAATGTCAAACCCAGGACAATGAGCCATACACGGTATTCTCTTTATGATGGCCCACACAGGAAGTTTCACTCTGGCCTTAGTCCCAGGAAGAGTTATGCATCTCCTGAAAAATTAGTTTGCTTTTATTTTTATGTACACTGAGACTTTTAAAGGAGTATCTTAACAGAGTTCAATGAATATTTCTTAAATAAATGAATAAATGTGTTTTTAAACTGTTTCTTTTTCCACTTTGGAGAAAATGCTTAGAGCCAAATTTATGAGCCTCTTCTAGGAAGTGTACAGAAACCAGAAACATTATTAAAATATTCTGAGCTGAACTCACAATAATAGCTTCTTACTTGTGCATTTCAAGTATAACTGATCACTGGCTTAAACCTTACTTGAAAATTTGTATAATTTCTGACAGTCTAAATAAGTAGCACTCTGACTAATGAATGAGTTATAAGTCTATTGAAAAATCCTATTTTCATAGATTCTGCAGATGCAGCACCAGAAGTCAGCTAGAGGAGACTAACTAATGTTAACAATCCTTCTGAGGTACTTCTTAATTGACATTTTATTGTATTGCAATTATGCAAACTGTGCCAAGCTGACTAGGACTAAGACAAAGGAGACAGTAGTTTATATATTTATTTACTTTTGCTCCTAAATGATTCCTGAGAAGGAGTAATAAAATCCTAAACCAGAGTATACAGGCTTTGAAATGATATATGTAAAATCCAATAAGGCCAGTGAGAATCATGTGTACCTTCTCTCTCCTTCTCATCCCCATATACAATAACTAGGCCCAGTAACTTGAAAAGGGTATAATCAAAGTATTTAAAATAATGGAGTATATTGTGACTGAGAGTAGCAATTAATGGGAAAAAATAGTAGTTATTGGTCTGAAACTTTTACTAATAACTCTTCTTGCATAATCTCTGTCCAGCAACTTAAATACCCAAGAGAAGCATTCTAATGCCTTGGTCACAAGTTTCTCTTTTTATTTATTTATTTACTTTTTTATTATACTTTAAGTTTTAGGGTACATGTGCACAATGTGCAGGTTAGTTACATACGTATACATGTGCCATGTTGGTGTGCTGCACCCATTAACTCGTCATTTAACATTAGGTATATCTCCTAATGCTGTCCCTTCCCCCTCCTCCCACCCCAAAACAGGCCCCGGTGTGTGATGTTCCCCTTCCTGTGTCCATGTATTCTCATTGTTCAATTCACACCTATGAGTGAGAACATGCAGTGTTTGGTTTTTTGTCCTTGCAATAGTTTGCTGAGAATGATGGTTTCCAGCTTCATCCATGTCCCTGCAAAGGACATGAACTCATCATTTTTTATGGCTGCATAGTATTCCATGGTGTATATGTGCCACATTTTCTTAATCCAGTCTATCATTGTTGGACATTTGGCTTGGTTCCAAGTCTTTGCTATTGTGAATAGTGTCACAATAAATATATGTGTGCATGTGTCTTTATAGCAGCATGATTCATAATCCTTTGGGTACATACCTAGTAATGGGATGGCTGGGTCAAATGGTATTTCTAGTTCTAGATACCTGAGGAATCACCACACTGACTTCCACAATGGTTGAACTAGTTTACAGTCCCACCAACAGTGTAAAAGTGTTCCTATTTCTCCACATCCTCTCCAGCACCTGTTGTTTCTAGGTGCCATTCTAACTGCTGTGAGATGGTATCTCATTGTGCTTTTGATTTGCATTTGTCTGATGGCCAGTGATGATGAGCATTTTTTCATGTGCCTTTTGGCTGCATAAATGTCTTCTTTTGAGAAGTGTCTGTTCATATCCTTCGCCTTGTTGCAAAAATTTTCTCCCATTCTATCGGTTGCCTGTTCACTCTGATGGTAATTTCTTTTGCTGTGCAGAAGCTCTTTAGTTTAATTAGATCCCATTTGTCAATTTTGGCTTTTGTTGCCATTGCTTTTGGTGTTTTAGACATGAAGTCCTTGCCCATGCCTATGTCCTGAATGGTATTGCCTAGGTTTTCTTCTAGGGTTTTTATGGTTTTAGGTCTAACATTCAAGTCTTTAATCCATCTTGAATTAATTTTTGTATAAGGTGTAAGGAAGGGATCCAGTTTCAGCTTTCTACATATGGCTAGCCAGTTTTTCCAGCACGATTTGTTAAATAGGGAATCCTTTCCCCATTTCTTGTTTTTGTCAGGTTTGTCAAAGATCAGATAGGTGTAGATATGTGGCATTATTTCTGAGGGCTCTGTTCTGTTCCATTGGTCTACATCTCTGTTTTGGTACCAGTACCATGCTGTTTTGGTTACTGTAGCCTTGTAGTATAGTTTGAAATCAGGTAGGTTTATGCCTCCAGCTTTGTTCTTTTGGCTTAGGATTGACTTGGTGATGCAGGCTCTTTTTTGGTTCCATATGAACTTTAAAGTAGTTTTTTCCAATTCTGTGAAGAAAGGCATTGGTAGCTTGATGGGGATGGCATTGAATCTATAAATTACCTTGGGCAGTATGGCCATTTTCACGATATTGATTCTTCCTACCCATGAGCATGGAATGTTCTTCCATTTGTTTGTATCCTCTTTTATTTCATTGAGCAGTGGTTTGTAGTTCTCCTTGAAGAGGTCTTTCACGTCCCTTGTAAGTTGGATTCCTAGGTATTTTATTCTCTTTGAAGCAATTGTGAATGGGAGTTCACTCATGATTTGGCTCTCTGTTTGTCTGTTATTGGTGTATAAGAATGCTTGTGATTCTTGCACATCGATTTTGTATCCTGAGACTTTGCTGAAGTTGCCTATCAGCTTAAGGAGATTTTTGGCTGAGACAATGGGGTTTTCTAGATATACAATCATGTCATCTGCAAACAGGGACAATTTGACTTCCTCTTTTCCTGATTGAATACTCTTTATTTCCTTCTCCTGCCTAATTACCCTGGCCAGAACTTCCAACACTATGTTGAATAGGAGTTGTGAGAGATGGCATCCCTGTCTTGTGCCAGTTTTCAAAGGGAATGCTTCCATTTTTGCCCATTCAGTATGATATTGGCTGTGGGTTTGTCATAGATAGCTCTTATTATTTTGAGATATGTCCCATCAATACCTAATTTATTGAGAGTTTTTAGCATGAAGTGTTGTTGAATTTTGTCAAAGGCCTTTTCTGCATCTATTGAGACAATTATATGGTTTTTGTCGTTGGTTCTGTTTATATGCTGGATTACATTTATTGATTTGCATATGTTGAACCAGCCTTGCATCCCAGGGATGAAGCCCACTTGATCATGGTGGATAAGCTTTTTGATGTGCTGCTGGATTCGGTTTGCCAGTATTTTATGGAGGATTTTTGTATTGATGTTCATCAGGGATATTGGTCTAAAATTCTCTTTTTTTGTTTTGTCTCTGCCACGCTTTGGTATCAGGATGACGCTGGCCTCATAAAATGAGTTAGGGAGGATTCCCTCTTTTTCTATTGATTGGAATAGTTTCAGAAGGAATGGTACCAGCTCCTCCTTGTACCTCTGGTAGAATTCGGCTATGAATCCATCTGGTCCTGGACTTTTTTTGGTTGGTAAGCTATTAATTATTGCCTCAATTTCAGAGCCTGTTATTGATCTATTCAGAGATTCAACTTCTTCCTGGTTTAGTCTTGGGAGGGTGTATGTGTTGAGGAAGTTATCCATTTCTTCTAGATTTTCTAGTTTATTTGCATAGAGGTGTTTATAGTATTCTCTAATGGTAGTTTGTATTTCTGTGGGATTGGTGGTGATATCCCCTTTATCATTTTTTATTGTGTCTATTTTATTCTTCTCTCTTTTTTTCTTTATGATAGACCACTAGCAGTTTCTCTTAACGTAAAAACTTTCTTACTGTATTTTATGACATATTTTACTGTGCATACATAGGAACTAGATAAGACCCACTAAAGAGATTATCTCTGTAACTTTTACTACTGTTGACTGAGAACACTTTATTCCATTTTAAATCATTTGAGAAAACTGCAAACATTTTCTGAGACTTAGGCCTGGCCTTACCCCTGATCTTTAAAACTGATAGACAACAACCACAAAAGTTTCAGTAGAAGCCATTTAAAAGGAAAAAAAGCCTCTCATTATCTTGAAACAGAAGGTGTATTAGTCTGTTCTCACACTGCTATAAAGAACTGCCCCAGACTGGGTAATTTATAAAGGAAAGAAGTTCAATGGACTCACAGTTTCACCTGGCTGGGGAGGCTTCAGGAAACTTACAGTCATAGTGGAAGGGGAAGCAAACACATCCTTCTTCACAACGTGGCTGGAGAAAGAAGTGCCAAGCAAAAGGGGGAAAAGCCCCTTATAAAACTGTCAGACCTTGTGAGAGTTCACTCACTGTCATGAGAACAGCATGAGAGTAACCATCCCTATGATTAAATTACCTCCCACTGGGTCCCTCCCATGACACATGGGGATTATGGGCACTACAATCAAGGTGAGATTTGGGTGGGGACACAGAGCCAAACCATATCATTCTGCCTTGAGCAACTACACCCCTGTGGCTTTGCAGGGTACAGCTTCCCTCCTGGCTGTCTTCACAGCCTGGCATTGAGTGTCTGTGGCTTGTTGTCAGTGGTGCATGGTGCAAGTTGTGGTGCATGGTGCAAAAGGGGGAAAAGCCCTTTATAAAACTGTCAGACCTTGTGAGAACTCACTCACTGTCATGAGAACAGCATGAGAGTAACCATCCCCATGATTAAATTACCTCCCACTGGGTCCCTCCCATGACACATGGGGATTATGGGCACTACAATCAAGGTGAGATTTGGGTGGGGACACAGAGTCAAACCATATCATTCTGCCTTAAGCAACTACACCCCTGTGGCTTTGCAGGGCACAGCTTCCCTCCTGGCTGCCTTCACAGCCTGGCATTGAGTGTCTGTGAGTGTCTGTGGTGCATGGTGCAAGTTGTCAGTGGATCTACTATTCAGGGGTCTGGAGGATGGTAGCCCTCTTCTCACAGCCCCACTAGGCAGTGCCCCGTGGGGACTCTGTGTGGGGGCTCTCACCCCACATTTTCATTCCACTCTGCCCTAGCAGAGGTTCTCCATGAGAACTCCACCCCTACAGCACTCCTCTGCCTGGATATCCAGGTGTTTCCATACCTCCTCTGAAATCTAGAGGTTTCCAAACTTTAATTCTTGATGTCCCTAAAAACTAAATTGATTATTTAAAAAGACAAGATATAGTTATCTATATGATTTAGCTAATACAGTTGCACTAGTTATTTTTCCCAGATTCCCACTGAATGAGTCTTTAATGCGTTGGAATAAAATTATATTCAACACAAAATCTACCTTTCAAAATCAAGTAAGAAAACATACAAAACTATTCAAGTGACCAAAGTTAAGATAAATGCAGGAATGAATAATTAAAATCAAGATTTTATCACAATGTTTTAGAGTTAATCCATATTCACAGAAATGTGACACTAGTGATACATCACAAGCATATCATGAGAGCTGAGACTTTCTTCAAATAATAATGACTAACACTGTATTTTTACTATGTATCAGTTCACCAGAGAAGCAATGTAATGAATTACTTTGCTTAATGAAGATGAAATTATTTTTCACATTTTGCCAATGAGGAAACTGAGAAACGGTTGGTACGGACAAAGGGCAGTACTCTCGTCCATGTCTACCTTCAGTTCAAGCTTTTGTTCTTAACTACTTTGCTCTAATACATACTGCATTAATGCTGGTAAGTTTGGATGGCCCATTTAAAATTTTGTCTGTTTCTATAGTTATCAGTAACACAGAATAGTAAATTCCTTTATCTCAGTTATAGTTACATTCAACAAATATAATACAACTAAAAAATATTTTAAGTAGATTGAACTTATATTGAAAATTAAAACTGTTGTGGGGTGGGGGAGGGGGGAGGGATAGCATTAGGAGATATACCTAATGCTAAATGACGAGTTAATGGGTGCAGCTCACCAGCATGGCACATGTATACATATGTAACTAACCTGCACATTGTGCACATGTACCCTAAAACTTAAAGTATAATAATAATAAAATAAAATAAAATAATCTGAAAAAAACAAAAAAAGAAAAGAAAATTAAAAATATTGAAAAATGTTGATTGTTGATAGCAATAGTAATAAAAACATCCACAATATTGAGGATGAAAGCCTGAAAATTAACTTATTTCAGTGATAATTTTTACTCTGTAAACGCTGTGTAGTATAGTTAGGGATCAAAAAATTAACCTTAAGCATATTACAATTAACCATAGCAATCCAATTTTATCAATCAAAATCAAATCCATGTATGTTAATTAACAATCTGAATACTATCATTTTTCTTTCATTCCTGTTTGTATCTTGGTGAAACAGAATAAAAGCTTCTCGCAAGATATATTAGATTTTAAAATATTTGGATAATTAACATGCTTTCATATAAAGAGTATACATTAATTGGTGTTTTACTTCCCTAAAACACATTGATAGAATAGTTTATCCTTGTATTTAATACTGTTATTATTTTCATTACTAACATTCATTGAATGTTTACTAAGAACTAGTGATTGTGATAGGCATTTTATTCACATTATCTCATTTATTGCACACAGCCCTAACATAAATACAACTATTACCTCCATTTTGAAGATAACTATAGCTAGTATTTACTGTGGACCACCATTAGCAATCTCAGTTCCAGTGCTCCAAAGAAATATTTTAAAATGAGTGGAACATTGTCCTTGTTCTTATGCAGGTTGTAGTCTGGTATATTTATCAAAATTTTCTTGAAAAAATCCTGTGCATCATTATATGCCATGTTGAATTGAATCTTTGCTCTACTTTTCTAGCTAAAATATATCAGGTAGAATTATCTGAGTGTAATTATTTATATCAGAATATGTCACAGTATTTAGAGATTTTCTAATTTGTACTTAATTGCTATGATAAGTAAAATATTAATACATAAATAAGCAATTATTTTGGTCTCAAATATTAAAAATGTGATGGTATTCCGCTAAAGTGTTGGAACTTTTCTTGTTACTTTGAATAAATATTTCTGTTATTCAAAGAAATTCTAACAGTTGTTTTCTGACTTCTAATGAATATGCTGCAAATGTTCTTAGTGATATACATCAAATGATTAAAGGTATAGTTTTCCAGAAAGCAGAGTTCATTACTGTATATCTCTTATCCTGGTAAGGCAAATCTGTACTTGATTTTGGTGGTAACAAAAAGAAGCAGCAAATATTTTTTACTCTTTAATGATGTTTTATGCTTAAACTACATAGAGATTTTCTTGGTATTCATTTGGAACATTGTTTCCTTGTCTCATTAATACTTGTAAAGTTTTCAATTGGTAGATAAGAGGAATTTTTGTAGTTAATTTTATTCAGATGGAGAGACAAAAGCTCAAAGAAGGTAGAATCATACAAATCTGAGACCAAGTCTATTAAATAAAAGTGAAGATTATTGCCAGGAAAAATATTTTAATAATAATAATTTACCTAGAATGAAAAATTTGGAATCAAAGGTAGAACTCAGCATTCATTTATCCTTTTGTATATGGAACAATTTTAGAAGTGGGGTAGGGAAGAGGTTCAGAGTAGATTTTCAGAAGAAACAAAAGATGCACACTTATTATCTTGTCACTTCTTTATAATACATTATTATCCCTAATTTATAAAAACATAAAGAAAATAAAATGAAGAAGAGGTTTAAAAAGAAGAGGAAGAATTTGCCTTCAAAGTAGGACAAAGAAACTAAGCATAAGAGAAACTACTTTTCAGTACACTATGTCTGAAACAAATTTGTTACAACTAAAAGAGGACACCAATATTTTAATTTTAATGTATCCAGATGGATAAGAGAAACTCAATAAAATTGCTTTCAACAAACAAATTTAAAAAAAAAACCCAAAGGTATCCAGCATTTCTACACTATTTATAAGTGCAATGGCTGCTGCTTCTGAAAAGACTTACAGAATCTGCTTTTATGTTATTTTTTGATGTCATTTATAGTGTAGCCATTGTTAGACAATGACTGATTCAATTAAAGCTAATGCTTTTGATTTCTTAAAGCTCTGAATAGTATTTTTAATTGCAATTGATTACATACTTATTTAATAAAAGGGAAACTGTTGAACTGACCGAATAATGGTATCCCAGAATGAGGATTTACATCAGTTATTGGTTGAAACATTTAAAACTTCAGAGTAATATTATAATTTTCCTATTATTCAAACTTATAAATGAAACAAAAAGTGATTTTTTTCTATTCTTTCAGAAACAGGAATTCACCAGAACTACTTTACTGAATAGGTGAGTGAATTATTCATTAAGATGATCAGTAGGACTGGGTCTTTTTTAACTCTAAGGAGATATGTATATTACTTCACACAAAAGCAATTATTAATTTACTGATAGCATAGATAACTTCATACTTTAATTTTTGCAATTTTAATATACATGTTTATACTATTTTATTTAATTTTAATAAAAGCAAATAAAATATTAAATATGTAATCAATTTGAGATAACTCTGGAGTAGTAAATTACTATAATTTCACTTTTCTTTGCCTTTTATTTCTTTATTAGTTTGTTTTCATGGTGCTGATAAAGACATACCCAAGGCTGGGTAATTTATAAGGAAAAAGAGGTTTAATGGACTCACAGTTCCACGTAGCTGGGGAGGCCTTACAATCATGGTGGAAGGTGAAAGGCACAACTTACATGGCTGCAGGCAACAGAGAGAATGAAAGCCAAGTTAAAGGGGTTTCCCCTTACAAAGCCATCAGTTGTCGTGAGACTTATTCACTACCATGAGAACAGTATGGGTGAAACGGCCCCCATGATTCAGTTATCTCCCACTGGCTCCCTTCCACAACACGTGGAAAATACCGGAGCTACAATTCAAGATGAGATTTGTGTGGGGACACAGCCAAACCATGTCAAATTATTTCTTGCAACTTCCAAAAAGAATTTTTTTTTAGAAATAATTCATTATTTTTTGTTTCATTAGATATTCTTGTAAAGTCTTGATGGTAAATCTGAATGATCAAAAACTAAGAGCCAAATAGTGGGCTGTTGTTACATATGGTTAAAGTTCATTTAGCCCTAAAATAATGGGAACAAGAGAATAATGACCAGAGGAGGGATATTGGGGAGGTGATGCGTATAGTAGGAATCTCTAGCAGTCTTGCAGACATCATGTGAATTTTTCAAATCTGATACTCTCTTGTTTTAAGATAGCCAGATGAAAAGTCGATTCAATGGAGAAAAAAGAGGGGTTTGGCATGAAGTTTCCTAAGTACAGCCAGGCCAAAGAATGTAATGTATAGAAAAAGCCACAGTAGAGTTTATGGGAATTAAAGCAAGGGAAACCAACTAAATTAATCTGTAGTCTTCATTCGACAATCTCACATACCTGTTTCCCTCACATATATACTCATTCTTAAATTCACTGTTATGACCACATTAGAACTCAACTTCAAATTTGTGTTATTAATCTTTTTTATAAAGCATTTCCAAGTAGATTTACTTAACATTATCTAATATCTTGCAAGTGTATGGCAGTATTATTTTCAGCAATATGGAAAATGATGAAAATACTGGTTACTGCAATAGATTATGTTGCAGAAAATAATGCAAGAGCCTGTGAAATTCCTTGGACATGTGACACATTATACATAAACCAGTCAATGATCTAGGGAATTATAGTGAACTCTGGTCATTCAGGTGAAGTAACATAAGAGCACATAACATTTCTAGTTTCAATCCTGCTTCGTATCATTTACACTCACCAAGCATCAATTTCCTCTTCCATAAAATTTAGATACTAAAATTTTTATCTTCCATAGGGCAGTTATGAGGATCTCATAAAACAATAAATACGTAGGAGTATTCTTCAAAGAACAACGTATTACAGGGATGCTAGTTATTTCTGTTAACCCAGCAACTCGAATTACCCAGGAATCCTGATTAATGCTATGGCATATAAATTGGGAGACTCTCAAGATTCTCTAAAATCAGTTTTAAAATGTAAAACGTATGCTTTACTGGAACACATTTATCTCAAGAAAGAGCATCATAGCAATTTGAATATGTAATCTAGTATTAAAAAAACATTTGTAGCAAACTATATCCACTGTAAAGAAAATTATTACAGGACACACATGATCTGGACTTAGTGCTTAAGGAGGTAATAGATAAGTAAGGAGATATGAAGAATAGAAAAAAAATTCTACTTTTATTTTTGAATACGTAGCTGTATTTCTGAGGTTGAGTCTGAGTTAACCTACCCGTATAACCGTTTCTTCTATCTCTTCTTTAACTAACATAGATCATCCTCTCAGCGCATCTTTGAGCCTAGAGAAAAGCTAGGTTGGGATTTATGGAAGGAACAAGAACAAAATAAAACCATATCTGCTCTATTTTTCCATATCAATTGATTTCAGAGTGTACTTCATTCTCAACAAATGAAGAAAAAAAAAAAACAAGAATTTCCCTTCATGGTTTATTCTACTGGTTTAGAGGTAACTGTAATTAACTTTCTGCAAACTCCTCACTTAGCAAAAATGCATTACCTTTCAAATTATTTGTATTGTAGATACAATACAAATCACTACTAAAAACTGATCTTGATTGATAGACCCCATAGTTGGATATTTGGAAATAAAATGGAAACTGAGACACAGGAGAGACGTATCTGAAATTAAAATGTAAGAAGTATCAGAAGATACATTGTTAATGAAGTAAGGTTTCCTAATGGTGTTTTTTCATTAAAAATACTCTTCCTGTTTTACATGAACCATAGCTTGGGTTTGCTAAAAGATGCCATGATAAATAATTAAACATGGAAATCCTGAATATCCGCACTAAGGAAAATAAAACTTCCACATGCAATAACTAATGAGTATTGTATATGTAAAATCAAGGCCCTAGTGTAAATTTTATAACAAATACATGAAATAATATAGTGAAATTTTAATTTATGTAATTATTATATATAAGCTGTATTGTTATATATATATTTTATATACATGTAATGAAAGTCATGGTTAAATAATCTAGTATATTTAGGTTTATGGATTTAAATTTAAATTTATTAAATTTAATTGTATTAAATTTAAATTTATTAAATTTAGTTGTATTAAATTTAATTTTTATTAATTTAAATTTATTAAATTTAATTTTTATTAATTTAAATTTATTAAATTTAATTTTATTTAATAAATTGGATAATTTAAATTATCCAATTTATTAAATAAAATTAAATTTAAATGGCTTAAAACACATTGAGTTGTTTTATATATTTTATACAACAAATATATCTAAACTAAATATTAAAAATTATTAAATGCTTTAATGGACAAATAAATGACAGATAATTTAAAATGTTATTTGTTTTTCTTTCAAGATGGCACATTAGAGGCTTTTAGCTTGCCTCAGCCACTTGGAAATACCAAGAGAGTTCATAAAGATAAACACTGTGTGCTTTAATACAAGAAGGGAAATGGGAGTACACCAGAGTCATGAAGGACACCCCAAATCCTGGGGATGAGATCGTGGGAAAACAGCCCCTCTGTCAATGTCTGGCTGATAAAAGTGAGTGAAGCCCCAGTACATGAGAGAGGCAGAAGCCTCCCTCTTTGACTCACCTTTCCTCGGGGGAATCTGAGCAACCTAGGCCAAAGAGCCCCCTTTTTTTTCTCCCAAGTCTTGGAACTAACTTGGCGAGAGGCATAAAGACGCTGTGAGAGAAAGACACTAGGAAAAGCTGCACTCATTTTCCAAGACCCAGAGCTGAGATCAGGATGGCATTTTTAATCCAGGCTCATGCAAAGTCAGCCATTCTGTGGCAACCCAGAAGCGTGGCTGTGTAGACATTTTAGTTTCAGGCCAGAGTTTGGAGGGCCTGCTCTGGTGTAGGGTAGGGGCCTCCTCAGCCAGAACTGTGGAAACTGCCTCAGCATCAGGTGCTGGAATTGTGCTCTCCCCTATTGCATACTTTGAGTGGGAGGAGAGCTGCTACAGCTGCAATTTCTCCTGGACAATGATAATTACATCCAGGGCCAGCTTGGCAACCTGGAACCAATATGTGTGTGTCATTGCTGGGTATCCCATCCTGCTCCCCTGAAGTTGCGGTACAGAAAAACCCTCTCTGCTTCACCCACAAACAGAAATCCAGACTCTCAAATCACCCACTTTCCTGGAGCAACAGCCTGAGCTGCCCCGCTTTTCATGGACATAGATTGCGGTTCAGGGAGCCCCTCTCTGCTTCAAAACTAGGTACATCTCCAGGTATGCATAGCACCTGCTCACCTGGATCAGCAACCTGAATTGCTCCACCCTTCCGGTGCATAGATTGTGGTGCAGCAGGGCCCTCTGGGCTCTGTGCCCAGGCACATCTCCAGGCATTCAGAGCACCTACTTGTTTGGTTCAGCATCCTGAGTTTCTCCTCACTTCAGTGCAGAGATCTTGGTGCAGGAGAATCCTCTCAACTTCATGTCCAAGCAAATCTCCAGGCATATGGAACATCCACCCTCCTGGAGTAGGAGTTTAGGATACCCCTATCCTTGTGCAGATATCTTGAGATTAGGGAGGTTTCCCAGCTTCATACCTAGACACATCTCTGGGCACTTGGTGGCTGCCCAATGGATTCTCATTCAGCACTAGTGCTTGCCCCTCCCATCAGGACACCAGTACGTGGACCTGCCCAGTCTGACCCCATCAATCTTGCCCCCCCAACCCTCTGGAGTTAAGAAGTAAGCTCAGACGGCTGTGCACTCTAAGAATCAGCCATTGCCTGAGGCGACAGAGAGGTTCTATCAGTAAACAAGAATCAAGTATATACCCAGCCACATCGGCCAGTGTGGGCTCTTACCCAGAAACATCACCTACTGGCTTATTGGTCAAACTGCACAGTCCAATATAAAACCTGCTGACAGAATTGCATGAGGCTACAGAAGCAAAGCCAAAACACACTACCCAGCATTCTCTACAGTCACATCCCCAAGGGAGAGGGAGAAAGAGAAACTGAAAAAAGAAAAAAACAATAATATTATAGGGAAAAAGAGAAAAATCCTACCTGCACAAAAATAACTTCAAAAAGTAGAAGTGTCAGCATCTTCAGATCAGAAAGAACCAGTGCAAGAATTCTGGCACCATAAAAATATGTGAATACACTAACACCACCAAGGAATCACACTAGCTCTCCAGCAATAATTCCTAACCAAAATATAAATGCAGAAATGACAAATAAAAGACTCAAAGCATGGATTGTAAGGAAACTCAATGAGATCCAAGATAAGGTTGAAAATCAACACAAAGAAACTTCTAAAGCAATCCATGAAATGAAGGAATAGATATAAATCTTAAAAAGAAATCAATCAAAGCTTCTGGAATTGAAAAGCTCACTTAAAATTTCAAAATACAATTGAAAGGTTTATCAATAGACTGGAACAAGTAGAAGAAATAATTTCAGAACTTGAAGCCTAGTCTTTCAAACTAACCCAATCTGACAAAAATAAAGAAAAATGGAATTTTTGAAAATGAACAAAGTCTTTGAGAAATATGGGATTATGTAAAGTGGCCAAATCTACAAATGGTTGGCATTCCTGAGAGAGAAGGAGAAAAAGAAAACAAACAACCCGGAAACATGTTTGAGCGAATAATTCAAGAAAAGTTTCCTAATCTTTCTTGAGAGGCAGACATCAAGATACAAAAAATTCAGAGAACACCTGTGAGATACTATACAAAACAAACATCGCCAAGGCATATAGTCATCAGACTGTCCTAGGTCAATGCTAAAGAAAAAATCTTGAAGGTAGCTAGAAGAAAAGGTCAGATCATATGCAATAGGAATCCCATCAGGCTAGCAGCAGACTTCTCAACAGAATCCTTGTAAGCCGAGAGAGATTGAGGGCCTATTTTCAGCATTCTTAAAGAAAAGAAAATCCAACCAAGAATTTTTTTTTTTTTTGAGATGGAGTCTCGCTCTGTTGCCCAGGCTGGAGTGCAGTGGTGCAATCTCGAACTCACTGCAAACTCCACCTCCTGGGTTCACGCCATTCTCCTGCCTCAGCCTCCCAAGTAATTGGGACTACAGGCACCCGCCACCACACCCGGCTAATTTTTTGTATTTTTAGTAGAGACGGGGTTTCACCGTGTTAGCCAGGATGGTCTTGATCTCCTGATCTCGTGATCCGCCCGCCTCGGCCTCCCAAAGTGCTGGGATTACAGGCGTGAGCCACCGCGCCCGGCCCAACCAAGAATTTTATATTCTGCCAAATTTAGCTTTATAAGCAAATAAGAAATAAAATATTTTCCAGACAAGCAAGTGCTAAGGGAATTTGTTATCACTAAACCAATCTTATAGAGATCCTTATAAGAGTTCTAAACACTGAAATGAAAGAATAATACCTGCTACCAAGAAAACACACTTCAGTACATAGCCCACAGATCCTATAAAGCAACTATACAATAGAAACTACAAAGATACCAACTAATAACTTCACAACAGGATCAAAATCTCACATATCAACATTAACCTTGAATATAAATGGTCTAAACATCCCAAGTAAAAGGCATAGAGTGTCAAGTTAAATTTTAAAAAAATGACCCATTCATCTTCTCTCTTCAAAAGATGCACCTCACACATAACAACACACATAGACTCAAAGTAAAGGGTTGGAGCACATGTATACATACGTAACAAACCTGCACATTGTGCACATGTACCCTAGAACTTAAAGTATAATAAAAAAAAGGGTTGGAGAAAAATCTATCATGCAAATAGAATACATAAAAAAGTAGGAATCACTATTCTTCTTCTTTTTTTTTTTTTTGAGACGGAGTTTCACTCTTGTTGCCCTAGTTGGAGTGCAGTGGCACGATCTCAGCTCACTGCAACCTCCACCTCCTGGGTTCAAGTGATTGTCCTGCCTCAGGCCTCCCAAGTAGCTGGGATTACAGGAGCCCACCACCATGCCCAGCCAATTTTTTTTGTATTTTTAGTAGAGACGGGGTTTCATCATGTTGGCCAGTTTGGTCTCGAACTCCTGACCTCAGGTAATCCACCTGCCTCGGCCTCCCAAAAGGCTGGGATTACAGGCACAAGCTACTGCGCCTGGCCTGAATCACTATTCTTATAACAGATAAAACACAATTTAAACTAACAACAGTAAAAAAGGACAAAGAAGAGCATACAAAATGATAAAGGGTTTAATCCAACAAGAAGAATCAACTATCCTTAATATATATGCACTTAACATTGGAGCAACCAGATTCATAAAACAAGTACTTCTAGACCTACAAAAAGACCTAGACAGCCACATAACAATAGTGTGGAACTTCACCATACCACTGACAGCCTCAGACAGATCATAAAGGCAGAAAACTAACAGAGAAATTCTGGACTGAAATTCAACACTTGACCAATTGGACCTAATAGAAATCTATAGAATATTCCACTCATTTACTACAGAATGTACATTATTCTCATATGCACATGGCACATACTCCAATACAGACAACATGCTCAGCCATAAAGCGAGCCTTAGTAAATTCAAAAAACTTGAAGTAGTACCAACCATTGTCTTGGACCACAGTGGAATAAAGACAAAACGCAATACAAAGAAGATCTTTCAAAACTACACAATTACATGAAAATTAAACACTTTGCTCCTGAATGACTTTTGGGTAAACAATGAAATTGAGGCATAAACCAAAAAATTATTTGAAATAAATGAAAACAGAGACACAACATACAAAACGTCAGGGATGCAGCAAAAGGAATGTTGAGAGAAAAATGTATAGTGCTAAATGCCTACCATAGAAAAAATATCTTGAATTAATTATCTATTATCACACCTGTAGGAAGCAGAAAAACAAGAACAAACTAACTTCAAAGATAGCAGAAGAAAGGAAATAACTAATATCAGAGCAGAACTGAACAACATTGAGACCCTAAAATCCTTACAAAGCATCAAAGGAACCAAAAGTTGATTATTTGAAGAGATCATCAGCACCAATTGACTGCTAGTTAAATTAACAGAGAGAGGGGAAGAGACAGAGAGAGAGATAATCCAAATAAACACAATCAGAAATGACAAAGGAAACATTACAACTGATCCCACAGCAATACAAAAGATCTTCAGAGACAGTTATGAACACTTCTATGCACACATACTACCAAAGCTAGAGGAAACGGATAAATTCTTGGAAACAAATAATCTCCCAAGATTAAATCAGAAAAAAAATTGAAACACTGAACAGCCTACTAGGATGCTCCAAAATTGAATCAGGAATAAAGAACCTATGAATCAAAAAAGTCTTGGATCAGATGAAATCACAGCTGAATTCTACCAGATGTACAAAGAAAAGCTGGTACCAAAATAATTGAGGAAGAGGAACTCCTTTCTAACTCATTCTATGAAGCCAGCATCACTCTCATACAAAACTTGGCAAAGACACAATGAAAAACAGAAAACTATGGGACAATATCCCTGATGAACAGCGATGCAAAAATCCTCAACAAAATACTAGCAAACTGAATCCAACCATATATCAAAATGGTAATTCACCATGATCAAGCAGACTTCATTCCTGTGATGCAAGGTTGCTTCAACATACAAAAATCAATAAATGTGATTCACCAAATAAACAGAATTAAAAAATAAAAACCATACGGTCATTTTAATAGATCCAGAAAAAGCTTTCAATAAAATGCAAAATCCTCTCATGATAAGAACCCTCAAGAAACTGGACATCAAAAGAACATACCTCAAAATAATAAGAGCCATCTATGACAAACCCACAGACATCACACTGAATGGACAAAAACAGGAAGCATTTCCCTTGAGATCCAGAACGTAGACAGTGATATCTACTCTCACCAGTCCTATTCAACAAAGTACTGGAAGTTCATGCCACAGCCATGGGGCAACAGAAAGTAAAAAAGACATCCAAATAGGAAAATAAGAAGTCAAACTATCTTTCTTCACTGATGATATGATCTATACCTAGAAAACTCTAAAGACTCCATCAAAAACCTCCTGGAACTGATAAACAACTTTAATAAAATTTCAGGAAACAAAATCAACATACAAAAATCAGTAGCATTTCTAAACACTAATAACATTCAAGCTGACAGCCAAATCAGGAACACAATCCCATTTAAAATAGCCACAAAAAATTAAAATATCCTAGAATACATCTAACCAAGAAGGTGACAGATCTCTACAAGGAGAACTACAAAACACTGCTGAAAGAAATAAATGATGTCACAAACAAATGAAAAAAAATTCTATGCCCATGGATTGAAAGAACAATATTAAAATAACCATAGTGCCCAAAGCAATACATAGATTCAACTTTATTTCTATTAAAACATTAAAGTCATTTTTCACACAACTAAGAAAAACTTTCTAAAATTCATATGGAATCAAATATCAGTCCAAGTAGCCAAAGTCATCCCAAGCAAAAAGGAAAAAGCTGGAGGCATAATATTACCAGACTTCAAATTATACTATAAGGCTACAGTAAGCAAAACAGCATGATGCTGTTACAAAAACAGATACATACACTAAGGGAAGAGATTACAGGACCCAGAAATAAGGCCACACACCTACAGTCACCTGATTTTTGACAAAGTTGACAAAAATGAGCAACAGGTAAACAACTCTCTATTCAAAAAATAGTGCTGGGCCAGCTGGCTAGCCACGTGCCGAGGAATTAAAGTGGACCTCTACCTTTCACCATATACAAAAATTAACATAAGATGGATTAAACATTTAAATGTAAGACCTCAAATGAGAGTAATCCTAGAAGAAGACCTAGGAAACACCATTCTGGACATCAGCCTTAGGAAAGAATTTATAACTAAGTCCTCAAAAGAAATTGCAACAAAAACGAAAATTGATAAGTGGGATCCAATTAAACCAAAAAGCTTCTACACTCAAGGAAACTATCAACAGAGTAAACAGACAATCTATAGAGTGTGAGAAAATATTGACAAACTATGCATCTGACAAAAGTCTAATATCCAAAATCTGTAAGTCACTTAAGGAGCAAAAAACAAATAATCACATTAAAAATTGGGCAAAATGCATGAGCAGACAGTTCTCAAAAGAAGACATACTGATGGCTAAAAAGCATATGAAAATTGCTCAACATAACCAATTATTAGAGAAAGGCAAATCAAAACCATGATGAGATACCATCTCACAACAGTCAGAATAGTTATTATTAAAAGGTCAAAAAATAACAAATGTTGGCAAGGTTGCAAAGAAAAGGAAATTTATACACTGTTGGTGGGAGTATAAATTAGTTCAACAACTGTGCAAAGTAGTTTGGAGATTTCTCAAAGAAATTAAAACAATTATCATTTGACCCAGCAATTCCATTACTGGGTATACACCCAAAAGAAAATAAGTTATTCAACCAAATAGATACATGCACTTGTATATAACTCACAGCACTATTCATAATAGCAAAGACATGAAATCAATGTAGGTGCCCATCAATGGTGGATCAGAGAAAGAAAATATAGTACATATACACCCTGGAACACTACACAGCCATAAAAAAATGAGATCTTGTCCTTTGCAGCAACCTGGATGGAGCCGGAGGCCATCATCCTAAGCAAACTAACACAGGAACAGAAAACCAATACCACATGTTATCACTTAAAAATGGGAGCTAAACCATGGGTACTCATGGACATAAGGATGGCAAAAATAGACACTGGGGGCTACTGTGGGGGGGTGTAGAGCAAGGGGGCAGGTTGAAAAGTTGAGTATTAGTAGTAGGTTGAGTACTATCCTCAGTACCTGGGTTATGGGATCAATTGTACTTCAAACCTCAGCATCATGCAATATGCCCAGGTAACAAACCTGTACACATACCCCCAAATCTAAAATAAAAGTTGAAATTATTAAGAAATGTTATTGGCTATTAGTGGCTATCATAATCTACTTGAAATGTCTAAAGTAAATCTATTTATATCAGTGACAAAAGCTTCTTCCTCTCTGATGATAAATCCATTGCAGACTGGAGTTTTAAGAAAATATTTTAGGATTATGAATATATTTATTGAGACAGAAGTAAATTCTGAATGCATGAAAGAAGAAAACTGGATATAAAAGAACCATGAAAACTGAGGAGAATTCAAAATAAAGAATGCTTATTCACAGAAAACGTGATGTTTTTCAAAATCAGCCTCTATATTGTGAATTACAAATGCCAGCAAGGCCAAAAGTCAAGCATAACTATTTTAAAGAATAGTGGTTAAACTTATCATACACATGAAATTGAAGCTTATATTCTATTACAATCTTTTAACACAATCCTCATTGTTATGAGTTTCTAAATGTCAGTTCCTCACTATAAAGATGTTAGATAACCTCTCATCTAGCCTACAGTCTAAACTCTAAACAGTTTTATACACAAGTAAAAGTTATAAGATTATTTAAAATAATAAACTTGCCATTCAACTAAAGAGAATGATTAACTCCTTCAAAAAGTAACATCTTATCTTGATACCCATAAACATTTATGAATATCTTTATGTAGTCATATACTATTTTAGAATTTTTTACAGTAAGAAATGTATAAGGGAAATATAGTGCCTCAGGTTGTTTGAATGAATGAAGAAAATTGTCATCTATCAAAGATACAGAAATTCAGTCATCAATGTTAGAATAATTTTTTCATACATGTTTTAAGTAGCCTTTCAAAAGCCAGCAGGAAATTGAAAACTGACATCCTGAAATATCCACTTATACTGCTGCACACATACACACACATGCATATACACACATAATATGAAGTGATAAAAAAAGACACCCAAGTGTGATAATTTTCTAAAGTCAAACAATAGTAACAATAGATATATCTATAGACCGTTTAATACATGCTGAATATTGTTTTAAGCACTTCATATGTACAGGTATACCTCAGAGATACTGAGTTCAGTTCCAGACCACTACAATGAAGCAAATATCACAATAAAGCAAGTTACATGATTTTTTTGGTTTCCCCTTGCATATAAAAGTTATGTTTACACTGTACTATAGTCTACTAAGAGTGAAATAGACTATTTTTTGGTCTAAAAATGTACATGTCTAAATTTAAAATACTTTATTGCTAAAAACTGCTAATAATCATCTGAGCTTTCAGCAAATTGCAGTGTTTTTCTTGGTTGGTGTTCTGTCTCAGTGTTGATGGCTGCTGATTGAATACCATGGTGGTTGCTGAAGGTTGAGGTGCCTGAGGAAATTTTTAATAAGACAATGGTAACATTTGCCTCATTAATTGACTCTTCCTTTCATGAAAGATTTCTCTGTGGCACGTGATGCTGTTTGATAGCATTTTACCCACAGTAGAACGTTCACACTTGGAGTCAATCCTCTCAAACTCTGCCACCACTTTATCAGCTAAGTTTATGTAACATTCTAAGTCCTTTGTTGTCATTTCAAAAATGTTCCACAGCATCTTCACCAGGAGTAGATTCCACCTCAAGAAACCAATTTCTTTGCTCATCCATAAGAACCAACTCATCTGCTCAAGTTTTATCATGAGATTACAGCAATTCAGGCAAACCTTCAGTCTCCACTTCTAATCTAGTTCTCTTGCTATATCCACCACATGTGCAGTTTTTCTATTGGAAAAAGCCTTCTTTTCCAATAGAAGGCTATTTCATCCAAAAAACCAAACACCGCATATTCTCACTCATAGGTGGGAATTGAACAATGAGATCACATGGACACAGGAAGGGGAATATCACACTCTGGGGACTGTGGTGGGGTGGGGGGAGGGGGGAGGGATAGCATTGGGAGATATACCTAATGCTAGATGACACGTTAGTGGGTGCAGCGCACCAGCATGGCACATGTATACATATGTAACTAACCTGCACAATGTGCACATGTACCCTAAAACTTAGAGTATAATAAAAAAAAAAAAAAAAAAGAAAATCTGTTGTGTAGTGTAGCTACCTTCATTAATTAACACAATCTTCAGCAGCTTGCTGCAGCTTCTCCCTCAGCACTTGATGCTTCACCTTGCACTTTTATGTTATGAAGATGGCTTCATTCCTTAAATCTCATTGAAACAACCTCTGCAAAATTCAAACTTTTTTCCTGCTGCTTTCTCATCTCTCTGTCTTCATTGAATTGAAGAGGGTTAGGGCCTTGTTGTGGATTAGGTTTCAGTTTAAGGCAATGATGTGGCTACTTTGACCTTCTATTCAGATTACTCAAACTTTCTCCATATCAGCAATAAGTCTGCTTATTCTTCTTATCATTGGTGCGTTCAGAGTAACACTTTCAATTTCCTTCAAGAACTTTTCCTTGATATTCACAATTTGGCTAACTGGCAAAAGAGCCCTAGCTTTTGACCTATCTTAACTTTTGGCATGCCTTCTTTACTAAGCTTAAACATTTTGGACTTTTGATTTAAAGTGAAAGAGTTGAACACCTAAAGTCAATTTTGATGTTATTAACTGGCCTAATTTGTATATTGTTATGTCCCAGGGAATAGGGAGGCCCAAGTAGAGGGAGAGAGGGTAACACCTGGCCATTGAAACAGTCAGAACACACACAACAATTATCAATTAAGTTCGCCATTATTTATGGGTGCAGTTTGTGGTGCCTCAAAGCAATTATAATAGTAACATCAAAGATTACTGATCACAGATCATCTTAATAGATATAATAATAATCGTATATAATAATACTAATAAAGTTAGAAATATCACAAGAATTACAAAAAAATGTGACATGGAGACACAAAGTGAGCACAGTTCATTTAGGAAAAATGTCACTGAAAGACTTTCTTGAGGAAGGGTTGCCACTAACTTTAAATTTGTAAATATGTATATCTGAGAAGTGCAATAAGGGGAAACACAATAAAATAAGCTACACCTGTATTAACCCCCTTAATCCTCACAACAAAACTGTAATACTGGCACTGTCATGATGCCCATTTTTCAACTGGGAAAAAGAGTGCAAAAAAGTGGGGCAAGATTCAAACTGGCAATCTGTTTCCTCATCCCACTTTTTATATTATAATTATTTATTTTTTTATAAATTTTACTTTAGGTTCAAGATGACAGATGTTATATAGACAATTGCATGTCATGGGGATTTGGTATACAGTTTATTTCATCTCCTCAGTAATAAGGATAGTACACTATAGGTAGTTTTTCATTTCTCACCCTCCTCCCACCCTCCACCCTCAAATAGGCCCTGGCGTTTATTGTTCTCTTTATTATGTCCATGTTTAATCAATGCTTAGCTCCCCCTTTAAAGTGAAAACATGCAGCATTTGGTTTTCTGTTTCTGTATAAGTTCCTCTGTTAGTTCCTCCAGCACCATCTGTGTTGCTGCAAATGACATAATCTGGTTATTTTTTACAGTTGTGTAGTATTTCATGATATATATGTACAACATTTTCTTTCTCCAGTCTACCATTAATGGATTTTAGGTTGATTCCATTTCTCTGCTATTGTGAATAGTGCTGCAATGAACATACACATGCATATGTATTTATTGTAAAACGGTTTCTATTCCTTTGGGTATATACCCAATAAAGGGATTGCTGTGTGGAATGGTAATTCTGTCTTAAGTTTTTTGAGGAATCACCAAGCTGCTTTCCACAATGGCAGAACTAATTTAACATTCCCACCAAAAGTGCTTTTCTCTGCAGCCTCAGCAACATCTGTAATTTTTTACTTTTTAATAACAGCCATTCTGACTGTTGTGAGATGATATCTAATTGTGGTTTTGATTTGCATTTCTCTAATGATTAGTGATGTTGAGCATTTTTTCATGTGCTTGTTGGCCATATATGTGTCTTCTTTTGAGAAGTGTCACTTTATGTACTTTGCCCTCTTTTAATTTTTTTTTATTTTTTGCTTTCTAATTTGCTTGACTTGCTTATAGAATTCTGGATATAAGGTCTTTGCCAGATGCATAGTTTGTCAATATTTTCTCCCATCCTTTATGTGATCTGTTTACTCTGTGGATAGTTACTTTTGCTGTGAAGAAGCTGCTCTTTAATGTATTTAAGTCCCATTTGTCAATTTTTGCTTTTGTTGTGATTGCTTTAGTTGTCTTTGTATGAAATATTTGCCAGAGCCTATGTCCAGAATGGTATTTCTTAGGTTTTCGTCTAGAGCTTTTTATAGTTTTAGGTTTATTTTTAAGACTTTAATCCATCTTTAGTTGATTTATGTATATAATGAAAGGAATAGGTTCATGTTCAATCTTCTGCATATAGCTAGCCAGTTATCCCAGCACTACTTATTGAGTAGGGAATCCTTTCCCCATTGCTCATTTTGGTCACTTTTGTCGAACATCAGTTAGTTGTAGCTGTGTGGTCTTATTTATGGGTTCTCTGTGCTGGTCCATTGATCTATGTGTCTGTTTTTGTACCAGTACCATGCTGTTTTGGTTTCTGTAGCCCTGTGGTATAGCTTGAAACCGGGTAATATGTTGCCTCTAGCTTTGTTCTTTTTGCCTAGGATTGCCTTGGCACTTTGAGCTCTTTTTTTTTTTTGTTCTATATGAATTTTAAAATGGCTTTGTCTAACTATCTGAAAGATATCATTAGTAGTTAGAAATAAGACTGAATCTGTAAATTGCTTTTGGCAGTATGGCCATCTTAACAATATTGATTCTTCCTATCCATGGGTATGGAATGTTTTATCACTTGTTTTTGTCAGCTTTGATTTCTTTGAGCAGTGTTTTGTAATTTTTATAGTAAAGATCTTTCACCTCTTGGTTAGTTATATTCCTAGGTATCTTATTATTTTTGTGGCTACTGTGAATGGGATTGTGTTCTTGATTTGGCTCTCAGCTTCAGTGTAGGTGTATAGGAATGTTACTAACTTTTGTAAATTGATTTTGTATGCTGAAACCTTGCTGAAGTTCTTTATCAGATTTGGAGCTTTGGGGCAGAGACTATGGGGTTTTCTTTGTTTAATTTCCATATAATTGTATGGTTTCGAGTGATTTTCTTAGTATTTATTTCTATTTTTATTGCTCTGTAACCCAAGAGTGTGGTTGGCATGATTTTAGTGTTTTTGACTCTGCTGAGAATTCTTTATAGCTGATTCTGTGGTTGATTTTAGAATATGTGCCATATGCAGATGAGAAGAATGTATATCCTATTGGTTTGGAGGCTAAGGGTTCTATAGATGTCTGTTAGGTCTATTTAGTCAAGTGTTGAGTTCAGGTCTCATGTGTCTTTGTTAGTTTTCTGCCTCAATGATCTGTCTAATAATCTCAGTGGAGTGTTCTCATCTTTATTATTTTGTCATGATCTAAATCTCTTCATAGATCTCTAAGGACTTACTTCATTAACCCAGGTGCCACTGTGTTGAGTGGCATATATTTTTAGGAAAGTTCAGTCTTCTTGTTGAATAGAACCTTTTACCCTTATGTAATGCCCTTCTTTGTCTTTTAAAATCATTGTTGGTTTAAAGTCTGTTTTGTCTGAAATTAGAATAACAACCTCCAATTTTGGGGGAATTTTCTTGGTAGATTTTTCTACATCCCTTTACTTTGTGCCTATGCATGTCATTGTCTGTGAGATGTGTCTCTTGAAGACAGCATACAATTGGGTCTTGCTTCTTTATGCAACTTACCACTCTGTGCCTTCTAATTTGGTCATTTACCCTGTTTACATTCAAGTTTAATATTGATATGTGCAGTTTTGATTCTGTCATCATCTTGTTAGCTGGTTATTATGCAGACTTGATCCCATGATTGATTTAAAGTTTCAATGGCCTATGAACACAAGTGAATTTTTGTGGTGGCCAATAACAATCTTTCCTTTCCATATTTAGCACTCCTTTGATGACCTCTTGTAAGTCTGACGTGGTGGTAGGTTACAAATTCACATACATTTGCTTATCTGAAATGGATCTTATTTTTCCTTTGCTTATGAAACTTAGTTTGATTGAATATGAAATTTTTGTTTGGAATTTGTTTTCTTTAATAGTGCTGAATATAGACCTCCAATCTCCTGTGGCTTGTAGGATTTTGTTGAAAGGTCCACTGTTAGCCTGATTGGGTTTCATTTGTAGGTGACTTGCCACTTTTCTCTATGTGTTTTTAACATCTTTTCTTTCATGTTAACCTTAGAAAATCTGATGACTATGTGTCTTAGGTGTGGTCATCTTGCATAGTGTCTTGCAAGGTTCCTCTGCATTTCCTGAATTTGAATGTTGGCCTCTTTAGCAAGTTTGGGCTGATTTTCAAGGATGATATTCTCAAATTATTTTCAAGTTGCTTACTTTCCCTCACTCTCTTTCAAGGACACCAATGAATCAGATTTGGTCTCCTTATATAATCCCATATTTCTCAGAGTGTTTGTTTATCCTTCATTATTTTTTAAAATCTTTGTCTGATTGAGTTATTTCAGAGAACCACTCTTTTCACTCTGAGATTCTTTACTAAGTTTGGTCAATTCTGCTGTTAATACTTGTGATTGTATCATGAAATTCTTGTAGTGAGTTTTTCACCTCTGTCCAGTTTGCTTCTTTTTAAAAATGACTATTTTATCTTTCATCGCCTGTATCATTTTCATGTATTCTGAAGGTTCCATGCATTGGGATTTGAATTTCTCCTGAATCTCAATGATTTTTGTTCCTACCCATATTCTGAACACTATTTCTGTAATTTCAGTCATTTTGGCCTTGTTAAGAACCATGGCTAAAGAAGTAGAGTAGTCATTTGGATGTTAGTAGACACTCTGACTTTTTGAGTTTCCAGAGTTCTTGTGCTGGTTGTTTCTCTTCTGTGTGGGCTGATGTTCCTTCAATCTTTGAAGTTGGTATCTTTTGGATGAGTTTCCTTTCCTTTTATCTTCTTTGATGCCCTTGAGGGTTTGATTTTGGTATAAGGTGGATTCAGTTGACTGGCTTCATTTCTGGAAGATTTTAGGGGGGCAAGTCTCAGCTCAGCAATCCTGGGCTGTGTGCACTAACTCTGGGGGGCTGGTACCAGGCCATTGCCTTGGTTCTCTGGCCCTTCAAGGTTATGAACCTGCTTCACTAGAGAGACTGATGTGTTCTCAGTCTGCTAGCTACAACATTCCAATGGGTGATGCCAGCCAAAGCACATTGTCAGGTAAGTGGCAGCAGGATTCATGCTTGCTTGTGAGTACAGCAGCTGTGGCAGTATGACAAGATGCACACAAGTTGGCTGGGGTGGAGTACTGGTAAGAGCAGGACTGCTGCATTTCTGCATGGATTCATGCCAGTGCTGTCAGTGGCATAGAGGGGCAGGGTACTGGTAGGCATGGGGTTGCTGGTGTGTATGCTCACTGTCACACTGGTGGCAACAGTTGGGGCAGGGTGCTGGCTGATGTAAGGCTACCTCCATGCACACATTTGCAGCAACAGCAATGGTAACATAGGGGAGTGTGGATGCTGGCCCACATCCATGTGTGTGTTTGTATCAGCAGCAGTGTCAGCACAAGAGGGAGCAGGGTTTCTGGCATCCATACATGCATTCACGCTTGCAATGGCAAAGTGGCCCAATGTCTACATATCAGTGGTCGAGCACAAGGGATTTGCTCTTGCCACCAGCAGTGGCGTGACAGGGTGCATGCACACACACATGCTGGTGGGGAAAGGGAGCTGCAGTCTACCCATTCACCCATGCCAGCAAAGCAATGAATGGTTGGCCATAGGCATGTGTGTGCCTGCAAAGTGGCACAGGGGAGGCTGCAGTTGAGGGAGGATGCTGGTGGACTGGTGAATGTCAGCAGAGGCTACTCTGTTGGAGCTCTCTGAAGGTCAGGCATAATCTGTCATTAAAGGAGCTATGATGAAGGCCGCAAGTTCACACCCAGTTTGAGCATCTGAGGCTGCATGGCAACTGGGCATGGACAGGCTGGGGCCCTGGAGAGGCAAGCAGACATGACTGTGTTCAGATTGAATTTGCCTCATCTCATGGGCAAGACTTCCCTGCTCTGTCTGGGTCCAAAAGCCAGCCCAAGGCTAATGTCTCTTACGGGAACATGGTGAGACTTGGGGGATGCATCTCCCTGGCCATGATCAACTGCATACGTTCCCACACCAAATGCTCTGGGCTCCACATAGGCTGAAATCCTGCCCCTAACATCCCTTTAAGCAGCTCTCTTACAGCTCAAGTGTCCATCGGGGTTGTGGGGTCTCCTACTACCAAGATGCCAGAGGTCCGTGGTGAGAGTGGGCCACTTTTTTCCTGTTGTATTCACCCTTTCCCCAGAAATTTCTGGGGGCCAGGAACATTTCCCAGTGCTCAGTAGCCCTGTGCAGGATTCCCAGCTTCCTCCCCCTTCAACCCAGCATCTGTGTCCTCTCTCCATCCATTCTCAGTGCCTTCCCTCCGAAGGTCTACTCATAGTGTGCCAGTATTCCTGATGTCCCAATTTCTCAGTGACAGATGTTCCTTCTGGCTGTATCTAGTCAGCCATCTGTGATATTCTTTAAAAAAAAAAAAAAGACTACATTCATCCTTCAGTATTCACTGGGGATTGGTTCCTGGGCCTCCTGTGTATTCCAAAATCTAGAGATGCTTAAGTACCTTATAGAAAATGGCATAGTATTTGCATATAACCTATGCACATCTTTATGAACACTTTAAATCATCTCTTGGTTACTTATAATACCTAATACAATGTAAATGCTATGTAAATTGTTGTTATACTGTATTTTAATTTTAATTTTATTGTTGTATTGTTTTTTTTTTCTTTTTTAAATATTTTTCGTCTTTAGTTGGTTGAATCTATGAGTGTGGAACCCAAGGTTATGGAGGACTGGCTGTGGATACCTGAAGAGGTAAAGATAGTATTTGCCAGAAAATTCAATTGAAACATTTGTTCAATGTTTACAATAAATATCTACAGGTATCATCCTGGGGACTTTTTAAATAAAAATTGAACAAAAATTCTCCAAGTATAGCTCAAAAGAAGGCTTACTATATTCATGGTTTAGTAATTAATCAGGATATTCATATCCTAAATTCCCATATCAAGTTAATCTTCACACTTTTTTTTTTAATAATCAAAAGTATAAAGATTATATTTTTCTCCCAAAAAAGGCCTTTAAAGGAAATGACCTGGTTTATATATTACTCAGGACATTTGAGGTATTTCTTTTCTTCTTTTGAGAAATCAGGAGCAGATTTCAATGTTGGCAGAAATACATAAGCCCAATGGCTTAATGCCTCATTTACTTCCAATATCAAATATGTCCTAGTATGAAAAGCAAAGAAGTTAGAAGATTATACTATATTAAAAGGAACAAATTATTTATTTTTCCCAAGGCAGACTCAGCCAAAATGTAATAGACTAAGAACATCAATCAAGTATCTTAATATAGATTCAACCAAAGGCCAAGAAAGGTTAAAAAGGGGTGGGGGGGTGTAATATGTATAATACTCTATATCTAAGGAGTCCTAAAACCTTTAATAGAAGTTGAGTTTTAGAAACAATTTATCAGATAAATGTTCAACCAGAAGTTACTACTGATTTAGTATTAACTCCACTACAAAATATTCATCATTTTATGTGCCAAGTACTCTACTAACGGCTTTGCATTTATTAACTCATTTAATACTTATACAAACCCTATGTAGTAATTACTGTTATCCTCGGTTTACAGATGAGAATGATACTAAAAGCAGTCTGCTTATTGCCATAATGCATGATAGATGAAAGAATGCCTATTTAGGAATTCTGAAATATAATACTTACTAATTGTTACCATTCTCCAGGTCATTCATGTTCCCAAATGAGAAAATTTAAATAAAAAATATTCAAATCCTCATACTCAATGAACCCACTCTTTACCCTTACTTGGACCTCAAATTGCTCAAAAACATCCACTTCATTCTTTACATTAGCACATATGAATTCTACACTCAAATTAAATACTGTAGTTACCAATTTTAGTGCTGGCTAGTACTTAAGATGCTTTTTTTTTAACGACAGTTTCCTGTTGTGCTTATAACATTTGTCCCAATTTTCGTTTTTATTCCCACTGCTACCACTCTGGGCAAGGTCTTTAATTGAATGGCCTCAAAAATGATCTTCCTGCATCTAGTCTCTTGCGTGTTACAATTTCTTCATTCAACAAATACTATTTGATATAAATTGACCCCTTACTATTACGCATGGCACATAGTAAGGTGTCAATTTATATTTGTTGAATGAAGTGTTAAACCAAAGAGACAATGATTCTTGATCTTATAGCCCTTATACCCTACCATGTCTCTAAACAAAAACGTAAAATATCTCCCATTGTTTTTGAGACAATTTCGAACTCTACAAATTTGCATTTAAGATACTTCAAAATATGGCCCCAAACTATTTTTACATATATCTATTTCAATACTATCCAACACAAACTCTCTAATATAACCAGGAAATATCCTCATTATCCTTCAATATGAAATATCCATTCCCAAATCTGCACCATTTATTAGAATGTTTCCTCCACGTGAATTTTCTTCACTGTCTTCTTCATGATTACAAAGACCTATTCATCACCCTTTTAGTAAGAGATTATATCTCTGTCCTGTCAAAAAAAGTTTCCAATTTTCTCCAGCTAATATCTTTCTTCTCTGAACTGCTCTGAACTTAGAATTTACATTAGTGTTTACAAATTTTGGCAACAAAGAGTATCAAGGAACACTGAGAGCACATCATAGCATATTTAAGATCAAATTATGACTGCAACCCTTCCATTTAAGGGAAGACCCCCAAAAGATTGCATAGCATAGAAATAGATGCAAGGTACCAGTAAGATTCAATTTCTTAGGTTTTAAGATGTGTTCATTAGGAGGGCTGGCAAGATGGCCAAATAGGAACAGCTCTGGTCTGCAGCTCCCAGCGAGATCAACGCAGAAGGACGGTGATTTCTGCATTTCCAACTGAGGTACCTGTCTCATCTCATTGGGACTGGTTAGAAAGTGGGTGCAGCCCACGGAGAAAGAGCTGAAGCAGGGTGTGCTGTCGCCTAACCCGTGAAGTGCAATGAGTCAGAGAACTCCCTCCCCTAGCCAAGGGAAGCCATAAGGGACTGTGCCATGAGGAACTGTGCATTCCAGCCCAGATATTACAATGAGATACAGTCTCATTCCAGTTAGAATGGTGATCATGAAAAAGTAAGGAAACAACAGATGCTAGAGAGGATGTGGAGAAATAGGAATGCTTTTACACTGTTGGGGGGAGTGTAAATTAGTTCAACCATTGTGGAAGACAATGTGATGATTCCTCAAGGAACTAGAACCAGAAATACCATTTGACCCAGCCATCCCATTACTGGATACATACCCAAAGGATTATAAATCATGCTGCCATAAAGACACATGCACACATATGTTTATTGTGGCACTATTCACAATAGCAAAGACTTGGAACGAACCCAAATGTCCATCAACGATAGACTGGAAAAAGAAAATGTGGCACATATACACCATGGAATGCTATGCAGCCATAAAAACGGATGAGTTCATGTTTTTTGCAGAGACATGTCTGAAGCTGGAAACCATCACCCTTAGCAAACTAACACAGGAACAGAAAGCCACACACTGCATGTTCTCACTCATAAGTGGGAGTTGAACAATAAGAACACATGGACACAGGGAGGGAAAAATCACACACAAGGGCCTGTCAGGGGGTGGGGGGCAAGGAGAGGGAGAGCATTAGGACAAATACCTAATGCATGTGGGGCTTAAAACCTAGATGACAGGTTGATAGGTGCAGCAAACTACCATGGCACATGTATACCTATGTAACAAACTTGCACGTTCTGCACATGTATCCTAGAACTTAAAGTTTTAAAAAATAGACAAATAGCACTATATTAAACTAAAAAGCTTCTGCACAGTAAATGAAACCATCAAAGAATAAAGAGATAACGTTTGAATGGGACAAAATATTTGCAAACTACTCATACAATAAGGGAATAAAATCTGGAATATACCAGGAAATCAAACAACTCAACAATAAAGAAATAATAATCCTTTTTAAGTGGGCAAAAGAAATAACTAGGCAATTCTCAAAAGAAGACATACAAATGGCCAATAGGCATGTGAAAAATGCTCATTGTCACTAATCATCAGAGAAATGCAAACCAAAACCACAATGAGATATCGTGTTACCTTAGTTAGAATGGCTTCTATTAAAATGACAAAAAGTAACACACATTGGCATGGATAGGGAGAAAAGGGAACTCTATACACTGCTGTATGGAGTGTAAATTAATGCAGCCACTATGAAAAGAGTATGGACATTTCTCAAAAAACTGAAAATAGAACTACTACATGATCCACCAATCCCACTATTGGGTATTTATCCCAAGGAAAGTATATCAATGTATCAAATGAATACCTGCATACACATGTTTATTGCAACACTATTCTCAATTGCAAAGATATGGAATAAACTTAAGTTTCCATCAATGGATTCATTGAGAAAGAAAATGTGGTATATACATCATAGGATAATTTTTAGCCATAAAAAGAGTGAAACTGTGTGATTTTCAGAAATGGATGGAACTGGAGGTCATTATGTTAAATTAAATAACACAGACACAGAAAGACAAATATTGCATGATCTCACACATGTGTGGGATCTAAGGAACTTGATCTCATGGAGATAGAGAATAGAATGATAGATACCAGAGGCAGGAAAAAGTATCAGGGTGTGAGGGGAAAAGGAAGAGTGGTTAGTGAATGGGTACAAATTTACAGTTAGGTAGAAAAAGTACGTTTTAATGTTTGATAGCAGACTAGGGTGACTACACTTAGCAACGATATATTTTATATTTCAAAATAGCAAGAAAAGAGGACTAGAAATGTTACCAACACATGGAAATGATGAACACTCAAAGTGATGGACACTCCAAATACCTTGACTTCATCATTACCCATTCTATGCATGTAAAAAATACTGATATGTGCCCCATGAATATGTAAAATATTATACATCAATAAAATAATAATAACTACAAAATGTAATATGAGTTACTTTTTTGTAGATATATAAAATGTTATTCTAAAATTCATATGAAATATCAAAGGACCCCTGTAGCCAAAACAACTTGGAAAAAACCAAGTTTAGTGGCTTCTTGCACTTCCTGATTTCAAAACTTACCACAAACCCATGGTAATCATAACAGTGTGGTAATGGTATAAAGACAGATACATAGGCCAGTAGAATAGAATAAAGAGCCCAGAAATAAACCCTCACATAAATGTCAGGAAACACACAACCTCGATTTTATTACACATTTTTCATTCATTACACACATATTAATATTTATACATTACCTCACATTATCACAATGATTTTCTACAAGGATATCATGACCATTTAATGGGGAAAGGACAATTTCTTTGACAAATGGTTTTGGGAAAACTGGATATCCACAGAACACACGCAAAAAGAAATTGGGCCCTTACCTTATACCATGTACAAAAATTAACTCCAAATTGATCAGAGACCTAAACATAAAAGTTAAAACTAGAAAACTCTTAGAAAAAAAAAAAGAAAACTTTAATGACCTTGAGTCTGGCAATGATTTCTTGTATAAAATACCAAAGGACAGGGAACAATGGAAAAACTAGTTAAGTTGGACTCCATCAAAATTAAAAAGTTTTTATATATTAAAGAATGCTGGCAAAAATGTGAAAAGGCAGTCTGTGGGATGGAAAAAATACTTGCAAATTTAATATATGATAAGAGATTGATATCTACAATACATAAAGAATTTCTGTAACTGGACAACAACAAAAAACAATCAACCCAATTAAGAATTGGACAAAGGACTCAAACATATCTCCAACATATATATATTCAAATGATTAATAAGCACATGAAAAGATTCTTACTATCCCTAGTCACTAGGGAAAAGCAAATCAAAACAAAATGAGATATCACTTCACTCTGTTAAGATGCCTACTGAAGAGCAAGGTGCCTGGTTAAAAACCTATGTGTAATTTTTCAGGCCAGACTGTAGACAACAACCTGACAGGCATCACAGGGGAAAATTGCCCTCTCTACACCAGACTTAAGGCAGAGCCATTTTATTACAGTCTCTAGAGAGAGTTGCAATCAAGTTCTCAGCCTCTCTTGTCCAGTCATGCTCATCACATATGTACACTCCTAGCCCTGGTGCCTTCATTCTTCAATCTCTTTGTCTGAGACCTTTTGCAAAGGTTCTCTTCAAGCCCTTCTGCCAAGGCCTCCTAATGGGAGTAAGGAGGAGAAAAATTTGAAAGCACTTTTCCACTCTGACTCAGTACCCAGTTCTTTTCCACTTTTAGCTTTCCCTTTAAGCCCAGAGACATAAAACTGCTAGAGCCTTTCATTTGGGAGCTTTCTCAACAGTAAGATACATCCCACTTTCGTACTGATTCAAGTGACCCTTCATGAGTGCACCAGGGGAAATGGAACACAGTGTGTTTGCACTGTTTCTGGTTTTAGCTTCTTGCTTATACCATTGCAGTAAGCCATTGAAGGATTCACTCTTTCATTTTTGGCTTGCTGCTTTAATCAGATATTCCCCCATCTAACAGCTCAGCATGCACTCTCTCTCTCTCTCTCTCTCCTCTTTCTCCCTCTAGTTCAGCTGAATTCCTGACACCTGTTATCTAAGAAAAGAAAACAAAGAAAAAAGAAACAGAAAATAACGAGTGTTAGTGAAGCTGTGGTGAAATTGGAACACTCATGCATTGCTGGTGGTAGTGTAACATGGTACAAGTGCTATGGAAAATGGTATGGCAATTCCATATACAATTATTACCATATGATCCAGCAATCCCAATTCTGGGTATATACCCAATATAAGTGAAAGCAGGGACTCAAATAGATATGTATACACCATTTTCATAGCAGCATTATTCACCATAGTCAAAAGATAGAAAAAATCCAGTGTCAATCAACAGATTAATGGATAAATAAATGTGGTAGGTACATACAATGGACTATTATCTAACCACAAAAACAAATAAAATTCTGACACATCTGATGATATGGACAAACCATAGAGACATTATGCTAAGTGGAGACATTAAGCCAGTCACCAAAGTAAAAATATTGTATGGTTCCTGTAACATGAGCTTTCCAGAGTAGACAAATTCATAGAGATAGAAAGTAGAATAATGGCTACTAGGGGCTGGTGGTCAGGAGAATGGAGAATTATTGTTTAATAGGCACAGAGGTTTGGTTTCTGGTGATAAAAAATCCTGGAGATAAACAGTGTGATGATTACACAAGAAGGTGAATATACTTAATGCCATTGACCCATACACTTAAAAATAATTAAAATAGTGATTTTTATGCTACGTATATCTTACCACAATAGAAAATAATAATAAAAAAAAACTTGGGAATACTTGGAGGTGAAAGATTAATAATGAAGAAAATAAAATAATAATGAAATAAATAAAATAATGAAGAAAGTAAGGATATACATGAAGACAAAAGACTGATAGCAAAGAAAATATCAAAGAAAATAAAAAACATTGCTGAAAGAAATTAAAAGCAATGTAAATAATTGGAATGCTAGCCATTGTTAATAGATTCAAAAACTTACTATTGTTAACATATCAATACTCCCCAAAGCTATGCTTGGTTTCAATGTAATTCTTATAAAAATCTAAATGATAGTTTCTTCAGAAATAGACAAACTCTTCCTAATGCTCATATGGAGTCACAGGGAAACCCAAATAGCCAAAACAATCTTGAAACGTAAACATGGAAGTGACAGATTTATAAACTAAAAACAACAAAATATTGGTGAAAGAAAGAAGACCCAAGTAAATGAAAAGATATCCCATGTCTTTGTATATTTTGCCACAAAAAAATAATATTCAATATAATGAAATACTGAAACTTACAGAATAAATTATGTTAATTATGATATGCTAATATGTGCTATGATTAAACACCAAAATATCATTTGTTTAAAGTCAGTAAAGTCTGTTTCTCCCTCATTACTACATGTTCTACAAGTCCATTGTTTAGATTGGAGAGAGGTGCTCTGCTTCACATAGTCCTCACTTAGGGACACAGTTTGACACAGATTCTACTATCTGGACTGTTGCCACTTGATTTGGGTGGTGGGAAATGGTACAAGGCAGAACAAGACACGTTTTTAAGAGCTTTACCTGGAAGTGACACTCATTACTTTCACTCATATTTTATTGCCTGCTCAAGGTAATTCTCACAGCTACTCCTATTTTCAAAGGGGAAGGGAGGTACAATTTTCGTTTGTATCCAGCGAGAGAGAAGAATGAGAAATACTGGTGAGCAGTGCTAACATCTTTCACCGTAGTTATTTATCAGTATTATTATAATCACATGTCTTAATCCATTCATGCTGTTAAACTAGGATACCTGAGACTAGGTAATTCATAAAGAACAGAAATTTATTTTTCATTGCTCTGAAGCTTAGAAAGTTGGAGATCACGGCGCTGGCAAGTTTGGTCTTCTGTTGATAGCTGCTTTCTGTTCTCTGCTCCCAAGATGGTCCTTATTGTTGCATCCTCTGGATCGGGGAGAACGCTGTGTCCTCACATGGCTGAAGGCAGAGGGGCAAGCACACCTAATGCTGCGTGAAGCCTCTTTTATAAGGGCCTTAATCTCTTTGGCCAGGTAAGTGCCCCCATGACCTAATCAGTTTTTAAAGTCCCCATCTCTTAAAACTATTATATTGACAGAACCTGAATTTTGAAAGGGACACCTTCAAGCCATAGCACCACATTTACTCCACGTAAGCATTTCATACACATAATCTCTCTTGAACCTCAGAATAAGTAATATTATTTTCACTGTACATATGAAGGTACTGTAGCTAATAAAGTTTAAACTGTTCAAAATTATCACAGGAATAATAATAATGGAGTTTGTCAATAATACTGTCAGTACCCATAGGGGAGATATTAAGAAACTAGGAGACAGGTCAGTATTTTTCACATCATACCACATAGGTAGCCATTCATTCATAAGGATGGGCCATATCATGAGTGAATATGGTCCAAATCATGAGTGAATAAAATGGGCTGGTAGGATGAGGTAGACTAATGCTAGAAACATGGAAAATGTTCCTAAAGTGCAAATAGAGAAAAAAGGATGCTCTCTACTAATTATATACAATTTTCCACATGTTAATTTTAAGAAAATACCACTACTGACTGAAAATTGGCTTGAAAAGGCTGACAGAATCAGGAATGCAGTTAGAAGGAGGACTGTTAAGGGTGATATTTCTCAGGTTAACAATGTCAGAATCCTCAAAACATATATGAGGGACGTAGAAACAAGAATTGACATTTTTATTGGAATATTCAAATATGGGTTTTAAAAATTATGTTAATTATGTTTCAGCGTTCTCCACTCATAATCCTAATAGTAATCCTAATAATAATCCTAATAATAATCCTTTATTTCCACATCTAATATTCAACCTTACATCTATTTGTATGTGTATCAGTTTTATTTTATTAAAACTTTCTAGCCCTAAAATTGAACTTCATTTCCTAAAGTATTTCCTAAATGGAAAAAATGATCTATTTTTTCTAATTCTAAAAAAAGTAAAACACATAAGAAATGAATGCAAGTATCATAGAAGATATTGCTGTATCAACAAAACAGTAGTGGACACATTGTCATAAAGTCAGAGGCATTTGTTACTCAAAATGATATTACACATGTAAACACCTATGTTCTTCTGACAAACTGCTAACAAAAAAGAAAAATAACCTTTCGTCAAATTCCCCATTATGGGTAGATTATCAGAAAACCATGTGTCTGAGTGACAGGCATTCATCCAAGAGCAATGCTATGACTGTTTTTATTTTGTTTATGTAACATTTGTACTCAAAATGTTTAATATTTTATATTACACTTTAGGAAAAATTAAAACATACTTTATTTGCTAAAGAAATGAATCATTCTAAATGGATATGTACAAATCAGAATATTGCAGCTTTAAATTTTATCACTTTTTGTTTCTTAATATGTTTCTATGTTTCTATACCTTCTCCATATCAATAGAAAGTCCTAGTTTATATTCAATCCTTTATTCGTAGGTAAATTTGCTACACAAAGGCAAGAGTATGAAAAGAAAGTGTTGTCAGAGAGTGTGATAAGATGTAGGAAGTGTCAACACAAAGAGTCAAACTCTAAAATATTTTAAGAGATTTATTCTGAGCCAAATTATGACTGACCAATGGCCTGTAACACAGGCCTCAGGAGATTGTAAGAACATGTGCCCAAGGTGGTTAGGCCACAACTTTGTTTTATGCATTTTATGGAGACATAAGGCATCAGTTAATGCATATATGATGTCCACTGGTTCAGTCCAGAAAGCAGAACAACTGGGAAGCAGGGGCTTCCAAGTCATGGGAGGATTCAAAGATTTTCTGATTGTGAATTGGTTGAAAGAGTTATTACCAATAGAAAGGAATGTCTGGGTTGTGATAAGTGGTTGTGGAGACCAAGGTTTTGTCATGCAGATGAAGCCTCCAGGTAGCAGGTCTCAGAGAGAAGAGATTGTAAATGTTTCTTATCAGACGTAAAGAATCTGTTCTACCAGTAATTCCAAAAGGAAGAAGGGTGTAATTAAGCATGTCCAGCTCCCCCTTCCCATCATGGCCTGACACTAGTTTTTCAGGCTAACTTTGGAATGCCCTTAGCTGACAGTAAGAGTTTATTTAGATGGTTAAGGGGCTTAGAATTTTATTTTTGTTTTACAGGAGATAGTATGGAATGGTAAAGAGGACATGATTAGGTATACAAAGATTTAATTCAGTCAGGCTGTAAGAAAAGCTGTAAGAAGTATCTACCAATCTTTTCTACTCTTCTTTCCACAGAAAACTCCCTTCTCATTTGTATGAGAGATAACACCCACTCCACTCACTCCTCACAACTCCCTATTCTTAACAAATTAACTCACATGCAGATCTTATCAAATATTTAATGGAGAGGTATTTCAGGCTTAAAATAAAATATTTCCCCTAAGCATTTGCCTCATTTATTTATTTTGTATTTGTAGACCCACATGTATTGAGAGCATTTTTCTTTCAGGCACTGTGTCAGCTATCATGAAAACAAGTAAATTTGTCTTATGCTACAACTAAAGTGTAGACAGGGATCAGTAGGAGAATGGGGCAAAGCCTAATTACCTAGAGGAGTCAGGAAGGTATTCCCAGATAAAATGAAATTTAAGTTGTGTCTCCTGAACCAAGGAAATCCATTAGGACCTAAAGCATTCTAAAATTTCCTTAACATATTCACAATACAGAAAGTTGAGGATGGAGACATTTTTGTGTGGGGCAGAAAGTATTTGAAGACAAGGGAAGAGTAATAGCACCCCTCAAATAATAGCACAAATGTGGCCTTATATTCTGCATACTTGAAAGATGCCCCTTTCTTACGTTATTTTAGGACGCATCTTCAGGAGGCCTGCACAACAGAGTACACTGTTTTCTGGCTCTGTTCCTTACCTCTCAGATAATTTAAATGGCACAGAGTCAAATGACACAAGAGAAAAATGCCAATTTATATGGATGTGTTAAACCGTGAGAAGATATAACATAGCTATTTGAGTTGACAGAAAAGCATCAGATAAGCTTCAAGAAAAGTTTAAAGATAGATGAAAGTAAGGCAACTCAGTTTAGAAAAATATAACCTAAACTATTATATCTATGCTGTCATTTAAGGCCTAGGAACAGGACTCAGGTCACTGTTGACTGTGAATTACTCCAGAAAATGATGAAAACAAAGGACTTTACTTACTGTGGAATTCTCATACAATACAGTGGGGTTCAGTTACACCTAAACCACACTAAATTTGGCAACTTCTATTGGAGAACTAAAAACAAAAGGAAAAAGCTAAAAGAAAGGCATATCAAGGAATTCAAAGGATGCTAGATTATTTTTCTATATGAATTCAAACTTAATAAAAGACTAAGAACAAAACAGGATTAAAGCTTACTCTTTGACCTTTGAAAGAGATATGATGGTTATGATGAAAATGAAGATGACATCTCCAATTTAGTGAGTGTCAGACACTTGGTTGTTCAGTTTACATATAACATATATTATCTTCCTTTGGCCTTTCCACATGAAGCAGATATAGTTTATAAATAGTAGAAATGCATTGTATAACCAGTGACAACTACGTAAATATGAACCTCCTCTGTTGTATGGTAAATACAAAATATAATAAAAGGTATTCTGTTTCTAACTAAATACCATATTTTTAATGCCTTTATAAGATCTGATTTCAGGAACTGCATGTAAATTTATCAGTATTTTAAATTAAAAATAAATTCACTAATATAAGTGTAAAGAAATCAAGTGAGTTTAAATGTCTCAGATAAAATACATCTTTAATTTTTACTTCAGTATAGCTAATAAACAAATCCAGACATGGCTCTTGTCAGATAGCTTTTTTCCTATTTGATTTTCCTTCCCTTGTACTTCCTGCACAGCTTTAACATGGCTCCCACAGCCATGCTTTTTCACAATGATACGAAGTGTTGAAATTATCTCTTCTTTTTCAGTGCACAAAAATATCATTCTACTGTACAACTTACCACCAAACACTTATTCCCTGCAAGTTTATACTCAGGATAATCAGCTACTGTCTGAAGTCTCAAATTCTAGTGAAATGAAACATTTTTGTATTATACACATGCACTTATAATATATTCATTAACATGAATGTGCATTATGATATAGGACATGGGAAATAAGGCATTTACTTGAGGAACTGCAAATATTTTACATTTGTTCAACAAACACGTTGAGAATTTACAGTGTGCAAAGTATTGTGGAAGTCTTTCTTCTTTCCTCTTCCCCCAGTAAAAATGTCCAGCTGTCTCAGCAGGAAAAGAGATTGAGAAGTATAATGAAAGCATACTCTCTGGTCCTTGTCATTACAGCACTTATCCATGAAGTTGCATGCTAGAAACAGGGAGTCAGTCTTTGTGAAAATTTTGGTCACCATCGCAGCTTTAGACTAGGCTGAAATAAAGAAAGAGTGTATAGGGTCTAGTCTCTTATCCAAAGCCAAGAAAATAGTTATTTCAAGTTTTTATTTTTAATAAGTGAAAGCATTTATTTCTGTATCAAACTACATATATGTTTTATTAATAGAGAGTTTAATAGAATCATGGGTCTGGATAGCACATATTAGAAGACTTGAATTTTAGTACAGTCATAATAAGTAATTAATTTATAATAAGAGAGGGAAAAAAGGAACTTCAACCCCAATGCCACAAATAAAATAAAAATTATTTTAAAAAAACTATGAATGCATAGTATAAAATCATGTAGTATATTTACTTAATTGAATACATATCAAAAATTGTTGCCTGTAAAGATTTTATGCATACATAATTTCACATAATTATATATATTTATATCATTGTATTATAAATATACAAAAATATTCATATAATTATAATTACATATAATTTTTAGAACTAGCTTCCTCTAAACAATAATTGAATTCAGAATAATATAAATCATGTTAAAGAAATATAACATAAATAATTAAAATTATAAGACAGCAGTTCAAAAGTTCAAATACCTATTTTATATATATATATATATATATATATATATATACATGCCTTAGGAGATAAAATTATTTTATTCTTCAATGAAATAATTCAACTGATAAGTTTAAATCATTGTTAATTAAGACAATATTATATACTTGAAAGTTATATTAATTTTAAGTGTTCGGTTCTAGTTTTATTGTTCATACACTGAGCCCTCTTGCACACTACCTCAGAAGATGAATATGAGAGAGTCATTGCAAATTTCTTTGAAATTTCTCCCCAGCAAAGACTGATTCAGAAAGCCACATGGGAGAACCAAAGAAAAGCCAGAGAACACATTCTTTCCTGATCTCTTATATTTGTTCAGAAATACGAAACAACATAAATTGAATTCCAGTTATAGGTAAAAATGGGGCCATTTCTAGAAAGATGTCTGTGATGGCTCAGACTAGCTCCAATTATATTGCCTTTCTCATTCAAAAAAATTGATCTCCTATTGGCTGCAGAGAATAATTTGTCTTTTTTATCTGTGATCAAATGAAGATTCATACCTGGTTTCACCGGGAAGCTTAGGATATTGTTGAAAAAAACATTCTTACAAGAACTAATTGCACATGACGCTGGAATTAGAATTAATATCTGCTGAGCATTTTACAATTCACAAAGCACATCTATATGTATTATCCTATTTGGTCTCCTAGCAAACCTGTGAGGAAATATCATTCCCATTTTACAAATAAGGCTCAGAATCTCTGCCTCTTATGGCTGAAACTTTTTTTTTCTACAACAATTTGACTTACCGTATGAGAGATGCCAAATAATAGTTGCAATGCCATATATTGCACATGAAATGTATATTTTCAGAGAATCTATGAAACATCCAAATGCTGCTATTATTTTTGATAGCATCTTTCATTTAAAACTCTAATTGTTGACTTCTAATATGAACTGAATTACCCTTTAAGGCAATCACTGCAAATAGAAAGTTCTTCATATACACTATTTTCCCAAATTCTTTGTTAAAATCAAAGTACCTTGCAATGAGTTTTACCCTGAGGTTCCAATATTTTAACAATGAAAAGTCTTTTATTAGTCTGGCATAGAAAAACATCGAATACATCTGCTTAGGAGGAATGAGAAGTTCTTCCTGCAAGATGAAGGTACTAACTCAGGAAGGGAACTTTGGGAACTCCAAAGCTTGTTCACTTCCTACTTTATTTTTATCATAAAAATGTGGCATCTTTCCTACTGCTACTATCTAGGTTAGTAGTCAAGGCCTATGTTTTACAATAAATCATTTTAAGCCATGTTTCATATCCCTTCCTTTGCCTCAGCCACAGAATTCCGAAAAAGCAAAAGTAGAATAATCTCTCTTAGGAGGCTTCTCATTGTACAACTGCAGTATATCCAATACTGACATTTGGGTTATAAGAATTCTCCTCAGTCTACCAATCCTAAATATACCCTAGTTTAACATACTCATTATGTCCCTTGCCAAAAAGCAGTTAGAGAGAGATTGAGAGAGATGGACTATGATATTTAAGTATATCACATGCCTTTAAGCTTTTGTATACAATCAAAAACAACTTTAAATTAGAAAAAGCTTATTATGTCATCAACCTCTCATTTTAACTACCAAGAAATAACTGTGCAATGACCACTGTGAACATGGTCCCATTATATATGTGATGGGGTTTTCAAAAGCCTGTTTATAGACAGTAGTGGCTTTCAAAGAATTTTTTTTCTTTCTTTTTTTGAGACAGAGTTTTGCTCTGTCACTCAGGCTGGAGTGCAGTTGTGCGATCTTGGCTCACTGCAACCTCTGCCTCCCAGGTTCAAGCGATTCTCCTGCCTCAGCCTCCTGAGTAGCTGAGATTACAGGTGACTGCCACTACGCCTGGTTAATTTCTGTATTTTTAGGAGATACGGGGTTTTACCATGTTGGCCAGGCTGATCTCGAACTCTTGACCTCAGGTGATCTGCCCGCCTCGGCCTCCGCCTGGCAACCTTCACAGAATTTCTAATGACAGTACAAATACATTCACACTGTGTCACTAAAGGGAATGAGAATAAAGACTACCATTAATATTTCCTACAAAGGTTACAAATGGTCAGTCATTGTCAGTCACTTACTTTACTCTCATTTTCTTATGGTCAAGTTAATTTTCTTTCTTTTAAGAAAGGAGTCAAAATTGTAAAGATCTTTTTTTGCTTGTATAAACAGTACTTGAATTCAATTCTAATTACTATATTATTAGCATATGATTGGAATAATGGTCCTCCATTTAAATAACAACTTTTGAAAATGACAGCTAAGGAGATCTGGGAAAGATAGCAGATAGGAGACAGGGCTAACATGCAGCTCCCACATGAACAAACAAAGCATCATGTGGAGACATACGATGATTTTTCACTCAAAGGACCACTGCAGGAACATATCAGGAAAACCAAAAGAATTCAAGGGTCCTTTGAAAGAAGTGGCACACCACTGCAAATTCCACAAAACAGGCAAAAAAAATGTGAGTTCCCAAAGTGTGAGAGGAAGGAAACCTACTTCTGAATACACATCCCCACTGGGGAATCTGAAAATCTAGGTCATGAGAAAAGGATTTAACCTTACCTAAAGATGAAATGGATATAAAGTTGAGTGAAATATAAAAGTAGAAGTAGCAGCAGGAAGTGCCTTGCCCGCATTCCCAGTCTCCAGCTTGAGCCCAGATAAGCCAGTCCTAACTCTTATCTCACAGGAGACCTTGGGGAAAGCAGACACTAGAATTAGGGAAGGGTCATGGGGCAAAGGAAGCTCCCAACTAAACCTGGCAGTAGTTTTGACTGGACACAAATTTTCCTGAGCAGAGTCCAGGGGATGAGCGGGAGCTGCTGCAGATATGAGTGAGTGCAGTAGCACAGGAGCTGCCAAATGGGCAGGTGGGAAAGAGCGAGATCCAAAAGCCATGTTTGCTGTCTCAGTGGGGTAGATCACGGCCTAGGGTATGGTCTGAGTGGGGCACTGCAGAAGTGAGACTGACCTCAACAACTGCATGGGAGCTGGGTGAGGTCTCTCACTGCTGACTGTCCCCAACTCCCCTGGCAAACTATATCATACAGCAGAGGCAGCCAAGATCCCCTCTGGAACATATCCACATTGGCATGAGAACCACCCCTTATCCTTCACAGTGGCTATGGCAAGCCCCAACCAAGGAGAGCCCAGATTCACCTAACCCTGCCCCCACCTGAAGGTATGTCTCTACATGCCTTGGTAGCCGAACACAAAACATAGAAACTCTTGGGAGCTTTATGGCCCTGTCCATCACCTGAGAAACCAAAATACTTACCATGACCATCTTAGAGTTTGTTTAGAGCCCCCTAGTACTACCACAGCTGGTACTCTCTTGAAAGCATCACCTCTTGGGTGGAGGCCAACCAACTCATGCCATTACAGCAACCCAGGACAAAATAATCTTGATCCCAGGAAGGAGAAGACAACACCTAATTACACTGCTTGCAACATCCAGTCTAACCAGAGGCCCTGAGTGTGTACAAAGGACAACTTCACTGCTAGCAGAACCAGCATTCTAGAAAGCCAGGAAACTAAACATATCTACAAACAAGAACTCTTACAGAGTCTACTTCACTCCCCTGCCACCTCTACCAGAGCAGGTGCTGGTATCCACTACTGGGAGACCTGAAGACAGATCACATTACAGGACACTTTGCAGACATCTCCCAGCACCAGCCTAGAGGCCTGGTGGCCGCACTGGGTGGCTAGACCCAGAAGAACAATAACAATCACCGCTGTTCAGCTCTTAGAAAGCCACATCCCTAGGGGAAGGAGGAAAGCACCACATCAAGGAATCACCCCATGAGACAAGATAATCTGAACAGCAAGACTTAAGTTTCAAGCCTCTCCACTGAAATAGTCTACCCAAATTAGAAGGTACCAGAAAAGTAATCCAGGCAATATGACAAAACAGGGTTCTATAACATGCCCAAAAGATCACAACAGCTTGCCAGCAATGTATCCAAACCAAGAAGAAATTTTTGAATTGCCAGATAAACAATTCAGAAGGTGGATTATTAAGCTATTCAAGGAGATACCAGAGAAAGGTGAAAATCAACTTAAAGAAATTAAAAAACAATGGAGGATATAGATGAAAACTTCTCAAGAGAAATATATATCACAAAGAAGATACAATAACAATTTCTGGAAATGAAAGACACACTTAGAGAAATACAAAATGCAGTTGAAAGTTCCAACAATACACTAAAACAAGCAGAAGAAAGAACTTCAGAGCTCAAAGACAAGGCTTTCAAATTAACCCAATGAGACAAAGACGAAGAAAAAAGAATTTAAAAAAATAAACAAAGCCTCCAAGAAATTTGGGATTATGTTAAATGACCAAATGTAAAAATAATTGGTGCTCCTGAGGAAGAAGAGAAATCTGAAAGTCTGGAAAACTTATTTGAGGGAATAATTGAAGAAAGCTTCCCAGACCTTGCTAGAGATCTAGACGTTCAAATGCAAGAAGCTCAAAGAACACCTTGGAAATTCATCACAAAAAGATCCATGTATTCTTCAGGTTATCGAAAGTCAAAACAAAGGAAAGAATCTTAAGAACTGTGAGACAAAAGCATCAGATAACCTATTAAGGAAAATCTATCAGATTAATAGCAGACTTCTCAGCAGAAACCTTACAAGCCAGAAGGGATTGGGGTCCCATTTGTAACTTCCTTAAAGAAAAAAATTGTCAGCCAACAATTTTGTATCCACCAAAACTAAGCCTCATAAATGGAGAGATAAAGTCTTTTTCAGACAAACAAATGATGAGAGAATTCACCACTACTAAACTAGCACGGCAAGAATTGCTTAAAGGGGTTCTAAATCTTGAAAGAAAATCTCAAAATACACCAAAATCGAGCCTCCTTACAGCATAAATCTCACAGGGCCCATAAAACAACAACACAATTAAAACAAAATAAAACAAGGTATTAAAGCAATAACTAACATGAGGAAAACAACAGTACCTCACATCTCAACACTAACATTGAATGTAAATGGACTAAGTGCTCCACTTAAAATATACATAATGGCAGAATGGATAAAAATCCACCAACCAAGTATCTGCTGTCTTCAAGAGACTCAACTACCACCTAAGGACTCATATAAACTTAAGGTAATGGGGTGGAAAAATATATTTCTTGTGAATGGAAACTAAAAGCAACCAGGAGTAGTTATTCTTATATCAGGCAAAACAGACTTTAAAGCAAAAACAATAAAAAATGAAAAAGAAGAACATCATATAATGATAAAAAGAAATAGACCAACAAGAAACTATCACAATCTTCAATAAAAATGCACCTAATATTGGAGTACCCAAACTGATAAAACAGCTACTACTAGACCTAAGAAATGAGATGAATGTCAACACAATAATGGTATGGGACTTTGATACTCTACTGACAGCACTAGATAGGTCATCAAGATAGAAAGTCAAAAAAGAAACAATGGACTTAAAGTATACCCTAGAACAGATGGACTTAACAGACATTTACAGAACATTCTACCCAACTGCAGAATATAAATTCTTTTCTTCAGCACATGGAACATTCTCTAAGATAGAATATATAATTGGCCACAAAACAAGTCTCAATAAATTTAAGAAAATCAAAATTATATCAAGTATCCTCTCAGACCACAGTGAAACAAAACAGGAAATTAACTCTAAAAGAAACCCTCAAAACTATAAGAATACATGGAAATTAAACAATCTGCTCTTGAATGATCCTTGGGTCAATAATGAAATCAATATTGAAATTAAAAAATTATTTGACCTGAACAATAACAGTAACAGAACTTATCAAAACCTCTGGGATACAGCAAAAGTGGTGCTAAGAGGAAAGTTCATAGCATTAAATGCCTACGTCAAAAAGTCTGAAAGAGTGCAAATAGACAATCTAAGGTTGCACCTCAAGGAACTAGAGAAACAAGAACAAACCAAGTCCAAACCTGGCAGAAGAAAGAAATAACAAAGATCAGAGCAGAACTAAATGAAATTGAAACAAAAACAATAAAAGAGATAAAGGAAACAAAAAACTGGTTATCTGAAAAGATAAACAAAGTGGATAGACCACTACTGAGATTAAACAAGAAGAGAGAAGATCCAAACAAGCTCAAACAGAAATGAATCAAGAGATATTACAACAGACGCCACAGAAATACAAAACATAATTCAAGGCTACTATGAACACATTTATGTGCACAAACTAGAAATCTAGAGAAGATGGATAAATTCCTGAAAATATATAACCCTGCCAGAATAAATCAGGAAGAAATAGAAACTCTGAACAGACCAATAACAAGTAACATGATTGAAATAGTAATTTTAAAATTGCCAACAAAAAAAGTCCAGGACCAGATGGATTCACAGCTGAATTCTATTAGACATTCAAAGAAGAATTGGTACCAATCTTACTATAACTATTCCAAAAGATAAAGAGGGAATCCTCCCTAAGTCATTCTGTGAAGTTAGTATCATCCTAATTCTAAAACCAGGGAAAGACACAACAACAACAACAACAACTACTACTACTACTACTACTACTACTACTACTACTACTACTACTACAGACCAATATCCCTGATGAACATAGATGCAAAAATCCTCAAAAAAATACTAGTGAACTGAATTTAGCAGCATATCAAAAAGATAATACACTTTGATCAAGAGGGTTTTCTACCAGGGATGCAGGGATGGTTTACCTTACACAAGTCAATAAATGAAGTACATCACATACAGAATTAAAAACGAAAATCCTATGATCATCTCAGTAGTTGCATAAAAAAGCTTTTGACAAAATCCATCATTTCTTTATGATTAAAACTCTCAGCAAAATTGTCACAAAAGGGACATACCTCAATAAAAGCCATCTATGAAAAACTCACAGCCAACATTATACTGAAAGGGAAAAAGATAAAAACATGCCCCCTGAGAAATGGAATAAGACAAGGATGCCCACTTTTACCACTTCTATTCAACATAGTACTGGAAGTCCTAGCCAGAGCAATCAGACAAGAAGGTGAATATATGGCATCCAGATCAGTAACAAGGAAGTCATACTGTCACTGTTTGACAGAAGATATGATTGTATACCTAGAAAACCTTAAAGACTCATCCAAAAAGCTCCTAGATCTGATCAATGAATTCAGTAAAGTTTCAGGATACAAAATCAATGTACACAAATCTGTAGCACTGGTATACCCCAAAAACGACCAAGCTAAGAATCAAATAAAGAACTCAATTCCTTTTACAAAAGCTGTAAAAAAAAATAAAATACCTAATCAAGGAGGTGAAAGACCTCTATAAGGAAAACTACAAAACCCTGCTGAAAGAAATCATTGACAACACAAACAGATCGAAACACATCCCATGCTCATGAATGGGTAGAATCAATATTGTGAAAATCACCATACTGCCAAAAGCAATCTACAGATTCAATGTAATTCCCATCAAAGAACCATCGCCATTCTTCATAGAACAAGAAAAAAATTCTAAAATTTATACATCTCCCATCTTCTACAAAAATCAACCAAAGATGGATCAAAGACTTAAATCTAAGATCTGAAATTATGAACATTCTAGAAGATTACATTGATAAATCTAGACTTTGGCTGAGGCAAAAACTTCATGACCAAAAACCCAAAAGCTAATGCAGTAAAAACAAAAATAAGTAGATGGGACCTGATGAAACTAAAAAGCTTTTGCACAGCAAAAGAAATAATCAGCAGCAGAGTAAACAGACTCCCACAGAAGGGGATATTCACAAACTATGCATCCGACAAAGGACTAATATCCAGAAAGTACAAGGAACTTAAACAAATCAGCAAGAAAAAAACAAACAACAAGTAACCCCATCAAAAAGTGGGCAAATAACCTGAATAGACAATTCTCAAAAGAAGATATAAAAAATCCCCAATAAATATATTTAAAAATGTTCAACATCACTAATTATCAGGGAAATGCAAATTAAAACCACAACGAAATACCACTTTTCAACTTTAAGAATGGCTATAATCGAAAAATAAAAAAATAATAGATGCTGACGTGGGGGTGGTGAAAAGGAAACACTTTTACACTGCTGGTGGGAATGTGAACTAATACAACCACTATGGGAAACAGATAGTCCTTAAAGAACTAAAGATAGAACTACCATTTGATTCAGCAGTCCCACTACTTGGTATCTACCCAGAGGAAAAGAGCTCATTACATGAAAAAGACATTTTCACACACGTTTATAGCAACACAATTCACAATTGCAAAAATATGGAAGCAGACCAAATGCCCATCAATAAACGACTGGATAAAGAAAATGTGGTACTTATACACTATGGAATACTACTCAGCCATAAAAAGGAATGAAATAATGGCATTTGCAACAACCTGGATGGAGTTGGAGACTATTACTATGAGTGAATTAACTCAGGAATGAAAGCCGAATATTTTATGTTCTCACTTACAAGTGGGAGCTAAGCTATGAGGATGCGAAGACATAAGAATGATATAATGGACTTTAGAAACTCAGGGGGAATGGGGGTGGGGCAAGGATAAAAGACTACACATTGGGTACACTGTACACTGCTTGGGTGATGGATGCTCCAAAATCTCAGAAATTACCGCTAAAGAACTTATCCATGTGAAAAAAACCACCTGCTCCCCATAAAACTATTAAAATTACTAAAAAAGAAAAACGGGAAAAAAAAGAAAATGACAGCTAGTTTCTCTAACCAGTAGAGTTATAAGTGTAATGATCAGATCAGAGATGGAGTGCCAAAAATAGTTTGCATTAATTTTTCAGTGGTCAAACCTCGGTGGAGTAAATATTCATGTAAAAATGGGGATACCTTCCTAGTGAACAGCCTAACAAAAGATGTAAATTCCCAATTTTTAAGCATTCTGACCTTAATGTGACAAAAGATGTTTTTTAAAATAATAGGCTAATTACCCAGTATTTTGGAGCAGGCAGATCATTGCCACATAGAATAACACAGTGAGACAATAGAATTAGCAGCCAAAAGATTTTGAAATGATTAATTGTTAAACAAAGTTCTAGACTACTGTACCGCTACTCAAAGTCTCTGAGGAGTCTGATTTATATAGGAACCTAGCAAGTGTTCCTCAAATTTGAGATGAAATGGTTGCTGGAACAAAGCTCCCTCTACGTCCTCATGCTAGCTAGAACTACTTTTTTAGTACTGGTACAACACTAACTGCAATACAAGCGTCTCTGCTATAAGCCATATATGCATTACTAGGAAAACATCACATCCTGCAAAATTACTCACTAGAAAGAAAAGATGCTATAAGAAAAATAGGTTTAAGCTGACTACTCAAACCCTATTCAACACTGTGGAAAGCAAAAAAACAAAAAAAATTTATAAAATTATAGCACTGATTATAAATTGATATGTTAAACTGCTCGTAAACAAAGAACTACAACACTATATATAGGATTTTATCTTGAAAGAAAAATGTGAATATAGCTTGAGGGAATAGTACTGGAAACAAAAATAAAATGAACAAAAACTTGGACGAGACATACAATAAGCACTTCCAAGACAGAACATAAGCCTGTATCCAGCTTAGAGGAAGATAGTAAGAAGAATGGTCGTTGTGTAAAGTACAGTATTTTTCTATGATTTGCCACATTAGGCTGTGTTAATATACTGCAGTTAATCTCCTGATACATGGTGCCACAAAAGGCTAATGATCTAGGAAAAATTGTGCGTGAACCAACACAATTTTGGCTATATGACATGCTTTAGCCAAGAAAAAATGTTGGTGATAGACTTTTTAACCCTCTCTTTCCCATTACAATGATTGTGGAAAAATGTCTCAACACAGAGTTGCTAAAAGGAATCTGGAAGTTCAAGCCAACACATGGAGGATGACTTCTTTGTGGAGTTGCCTGAACCTAGAAAAGAATAGGTGTGAGCACAGAATAAATTTTGTTTGTCTTAAGCTACTGCGATTGATGTGTTTTTATTTGTTTGCTTGTTTTGTTTTACCACAGCATAACCCAGACTTTTCTAACACACACAAGGAGTTTACAGAAAAGCTTGAAAATCTTTCCTAAGAGAGGCAATGATTAATATTTTCAGAATAGCCTTTTTCCTCTCAATGTAAGACTACTCTACTGCTTTGAAGATTTTCTATCTGTTTGTGACTTTACTGCTCCTAGATATGTTGGTCAACCACAGAACTCAGAATCCATAATAGTGTAGATTTTGTGGTATCACACAAAAAGAGATAATCTGTTCTTCTCTGGAATGTCATCTCTGCTAAGGCTTTGAGGAAATGGTCAAAAGATCAAATATAGCAACCAGAATGATACTCAACTCTTACATCATCCATCATTCCCCTTCAATGGGGGTAGTTATGCCTTTCACAAGGAACTACTCTTAAATTGCTCCAAGGGGCTAGAAAGAAAACTCAACTAGTCCCTATTTCTTTCACGGCTCTCCTCAATTCTAGGTAAAGTTCCCATATCAGCAGCTTTTTAACCTATGCTCAATCTGAGGACCTGCGTGTAATCGGGGAAGGAGGAGGTCACATCTCGAAGTTGTTATATTAACTAATAGAGATTTCATACTATTGACAAATTCAAATTTGTCAATTTGAATTTACTTTGAATGTTCTCATAAATTCCTGCTTTCTCTTCACTATATAGTCACAGTTTGTTTAATATTACTCAGAGGGTGACGGAGCTAACAGCAATTAATGCCATGTATTCATAAGGGAAGGAAATTCGATCAGACAAATTTAGCAACATATTGTCTCATTTTACAAAAAGGCCTAGTTTCCAAGTGCAATGTCTCACATCTGCCAACCCCCAAATAATTCAACATGAAAATGGCCTTCTGAAATATTTTCCTCAAAATCTAACCACCTCTACAATCAATTCAAAAAGTATAATTTTTGCTCTCAATGTCATATAACAACATTTACTAAAAGGCTAGTAGGTGCCAGGCACTATGCTAGACCTTGCAGATACAAAGTTAAATAAGACATTGTTTCTGGCTCTCAAGAAGTAGAAAATCTAATTGTCTTTTCTCAGTTCCTTAGCACCATTTCCCTTCAAAATAATCTCTTCAGTTTCTGTATTACCTGTGTTTGCTCTCTTCCTCTTCTATCAGTGTATGTTTTAATGTTGAGTTTTATAAATTTTTCATGGGCAACAGGAGGCTTGAACTGATGCGCCCAAGATTGAAAGACACCTCCATTTTGTTCACTGAAGATTTGATGACTTTGAGCTCCTTATTCCCTCCAGAAAGATTCAGTGAATGTTAAGAGGTGAAAGTATTCTGTGCTTTTAAATCAAATCCTTCTGAGAAAGAGTAGACTTATTATTATCCCAACTATAAAAATAAGCCAAGAAATATGTGGCCATGGTCACAAAGGAAGCCAGTAGCAGATATCAGAATTAATCTCTGTTATCTCTGCTCCATAATTAACTAAGATCAACATAAATTTACTATTCTGCCATATGCATATGCAATTGTATTTTTTGAAATGTATAACAGCAAGAAATTAATTTTTGCTTAATGTTAACAGAAAATTTGCCCCTTTAAAAATCTTCCATTTCCATAATAAGTTTATCACATCAAATGGTTATCCATTAAAATATTATAGAGTTTATCAATGATGTAAGTATGATGAATTAGTGTCTATGAAAAGGGATAAATCAACAATTTACAAATATATACATTTTAAAACAAGTAAATAACATGAGGAAATGTTAACACTTTACACTCATTTGTGTACATTTAGAAAGAAATAAGTATTTGCATTTCAGAATTGGTGCAGCAGCATGTATTTTGGAATCATTCTCTTTTTTTTCTCCTACCAGATGGATCCTACTGCTCATATTTGAATCTGGGACAGTTTAGAAACCTATCTCTTTTTTTCCATCTGACTGAGATCTTTCCAGGAGGGAAGACAAATCTATATCAAGAACAGTAAGGAATCTTACTTTCTCTCTTTCAAAACACCTTGGGGTAGGTGAACAGAGGAGCAGTTAGGTAGAAACAAATTAGTTCAGGAGACAATATTTTTACTATGAATTCTTAAATAAAAGGATGGAAGCTTGCTCTTCACTTTATGATATATGGAATATTGGAAGTCATTTCCCCATGTCTTTTGATATGTTTTGTGTATGCCACTACACTAGTAAAAAAATATTTACATGTAAGGCATCCTGCTACATACGTTTTTGCCCTCTTAAAGGTGTTTTGCCCTCTTAAAGATAAAAATAATAAAGGTAGATATTAATGGGAAAAATAGAGTATACTTTAAAATTGTGGATAGGAATTAAAATATCAGGTTAAATATATGCTGTATTCATTGATATCCAAGTAACATTTAAGATGACATAGAGTTTTGTACTGTTATTTCCAGCAGTGGCAGTGAGTTGAAGTAGAAAGTGCCCTTGTATAAAGATGCAAGGACATAACCCTTCATTGTGGCTGAGTGATATCCTAATCATTTAGGTCTTGAAGGAACATCTTTTTCTAAATGAAAAAAAAATAATGTTCACCATTTCTCCAATGAATGTATTATTGTTGCTCAGAAGAAATTGACTTATTTCTGCAAAGTACTTTAAGTCTCTACTGAAACTCAACCTTCATGATGCTTTCAAATTACACCTTAAATAATTGAAACTACAAGAGAAAACTAAGAAAGGATCATTTCCTTTTAGTCTTTTTCTTGATTTAGTTAGCATTACAGTCTTTGTGAAAGGCAAAACTGATTCATTGGTTTAATTTATTTCTATTATCTTAGTGAAACAGAGAGAGAGAGAGAAAGAGAGACTAGATAAAAACAAGATGAATGCACAATAGACTGCAAAATAACAAGGACACAATTGTCCCTGTATGTCTGCTGTTCTAATACTATTTGGCAATCTGCTTCATTTTAAATCCTAATCATATGAATGAGATATGTTCTAAATGGTATGCATTTGCTGCTAAATGACTGGAAATGTCCTCGTTAAGTGTCAGGTAGGAGAAAACACTTTTTCAGCTGCAGGAAGAAACAATGCTGTGCAGTCAGTGGAAAGAAACATTCAAACAATTATACACCCTACTGCTCCACGTCATGTTAAAACAATATGTAAACTAATGCGATATTAACATGATGATTCATAAACAGCAAAAGACCTTGATGAACAGCTAAACTTCCAAGTTAAAAAAATATTGTATCATTGATTTATTCTGTGAGAGTTTATTTTTTAATGTATTTTTTTAACTTTTTTATTTTTGTGGGTACATGGCAGATATATATATTTATGTGTTACATGCGACATTTTGATACAGGTATACAATGTGAAATTATATCATGAAGAACAGGGTATCCATCCCCTCAAGCATTTATACTTTGAGTTACAAACAATCCAATTACAGTCTTTAAGTTATTTTAAAATATGCAATTATGTTATTATTGACTATAGTCACTCTGTTGTACTATCAAATAGCAAGTCTTATTTATTATTTCTAACTTTTTTTATACCCACTAACCATCACCACCTCACCCCTACCCTCCCACATCCCTTCCCAGCCTCTGGTAATGATTCTTCTGCTCTCTGTCTCTTTTTTTTATATATACATATATACTTTAAGTTCTCGGATACATGCGCAGAACATGCAGGTTTGTTACGTAGGTATATGCGTGCCATGGGAGTTTGCTGCACCCATCAACCCATCATCTACATTAGGTATTTCTCCTAATGCTATCCCTCCCCTAGACCCCCATCCCTCCCTGGGTCCATGTGTTCTCATTGTTCAACTCCCACTTGTGAGTGAGAACATGTGGTGTTTGGTTTTCTGTTCGTCTGTTAGTTTGCTGAGAATGATGGCTTCCAGCTTCATCTACGTCCCTGCAAAGGACATGAACTCATGCTTTTTTATGACTGCATAGTATTCCATGGTGTATATGTGCCACATTTTCTGTATCTGATCTATCATTGATGGGCATTTGGGTTGGTTCCAAGACTTTGCTACTGTTAATAGTGCTGCAATAAACATAAGTGTGCATGTGTCTTTATAATACAATGATTTATAATCCTTTGGTTATATACCCAGTAATGAGATTGCTGGGTCAAATGGTATTTCTGGTTATAAATCCTTGAGGAATCATCACACTGTCTTCCACAATGGTTGAACTAATTTACACCACCACCAACAGTGTAAAAGCATTCCTATTTCTCCACAGCCTTGCCAGCATCTGTTGATTCCAGACTTTTTAATGATCACCATTCTAACTGGCATGAGATGGTATCTCATTGTGGTTTTTATTTGCATTCCTCTAATGACCAGTAATAATGAGCTTTCTTTAATATGTTTGTTGGCCGCATAAGTGTCTTCTTTTAAGAAGTGTCTGTCCATAGCCTTTGCCCACTTTCTGATGCGGTTGTTTTTTCTTGTAAATTTGTTTTTCACATCGATGTTCATCAGGGATATTGGCCTGAAATTTTCTTTTTTTGTTGTGTCTTTGCCAGGTTTTGGAATCAGGATGATTCTGGCCTCATAAAATGAGTTAGAGAGGAGTCCCTATTTTTCTATTGTTTACAATAGTTTCAGAAGAAATGGTACCAGCTCCTCTGTGTATTTCTGGTGGAATGCGGCTGTGAATCCGTCTGGTCCTGGGCTTTTTTTGGTTGGTAGGCTATTAATTACTGCCTCAATTTCAGAACTTGTTATTGGTTTATTCAGGGATTCGACTTCTTCCTGGTTTAGACTTAGGAGGGTGCATATGTCCAGGAATTTATCCATTTCTTCTAGATTTTCTAGTTTATTTGAATAGAGGTGTTTATAGTATTCTCTGATGGTAGTTTGTATTTCTGTGGGATCAGTTAGATACCATCTTATGCCAGTCAGAAGGACAATTATTAAAAAGTCAAGAAAAATTCTTAGAGACCTTTTTTGACTTATTAATAATTGCCATTCTGACTGGCATAAGATGGTATCTCATTATGGTTTTTATTTCCATTTATCTAATAATCAGTGATGTTGAGCTTTTTTCATATGTTTGTTGGCCACATGAATATCTTCTTTTGAGAAGTGTCTGTTCATATCCTTTGCCCACTTTTCAATGGGGTTGTTTGTTTTTTTCTTGTAAATTTGTTTAAATTTCTTGTAGATGCTGGATATTAGACCTTTGTTAGACAGATAAATTGCAAAAAATTTCTCCCATTCTATAGGTTTCTGTTCACTCTGATGATAGTTTATTTTGCTGTGCAGAAGCTCTTTGGTTTAATTAGATCCCATTTGTCAGTTTTTGCTTTTGTTGCAATTGCTTTTGGTGTTTTTGTCATGAAATTTTTACCCATGCCTATGTTCTGAATGGTATTGTCTAGATGTTCTTCCAGAGTTTTTATAGTTTTGGGTTTCACATTTAAGTCTTCAATCCATCTTGAATTAATTTTTTATAAGCTTTAAAAAAGGGGACTAGATTCAATTTTTTGCATATGGCTGGCCAGTTTTCCCAGCACCATTTATTAAATAAAGAATACCTTTCCCATTGCTTGTTTTTGTCAGGTTTGTCAAAGATCAGAGGTTGTAGGTGTGTGATTTTATTCCTGAGATCTCTATTCTGTTCCATTGGTCCATGTGTCTGTTTTTGTAATAGTACCATGCTGTTTTTATTACCGTAATGTTGTAGTATAGTTGGAAGTTAGGTAGCATGAGGGCTCCAGCTTTGATATTTTTGCTAAGGATTTTTTTGACTAGTCAAGCTCTTTTTTTGTGCCATATTAATATTAAAATAGTTTTTTCTAATTCTGTGAAGAATGTCAATGGTAATTTAATGGGAATAGCACTGACTCTACAAATTACTTTGGGCAGTATGGCCATTTTCACGATATTGATTCTTCCTATCCATGAGCATGGAATGTTTTTTCATTTGTTTGTATCTTCTCTGACTCCCTTGAGAAGTGGTTTGTAGCTCTTCTTGAAGAGATTCTTCACTTCCCTTGTTAGCTGTATTCCTAGCTGTTTTATTCTTTTTCTGGCAATTATAAATGGGAATTCATTCATGATTTGGTTCTCTGCTCACCTGTTGTCATAGTATAGGAATGTTTGTGATTGTTGCACGTTTATTTTGTATCCTGAGACTTTGCTGAAGTTGCTTATTAGCTTTTGGACTGAGATGATGGGGTTTTCTAGATATAGTATCGTGTCATCTGCAAACAAAGATAATTTGAATTTTTCTCTTCCTATTTGAATACCATTTTTTTTCTCTTGCCTGATTGCCCTGGCCCAAACTTCTAATATTATGTTGAATAGGAGTTGTGAGAGAGGTAATCTTTGTCTTGTCTCGGTTTTCAAGGGAAATACTTCCAGCTTTTACCCATTCAGTATGATATTGAATGTGGGTTTGTCATAGATGGCTCTTATTATTTTGAGGTATGTTCCTTCAATACCTAGTTTATGGAGAGTTTTTAGCATGAAGAGATGTTGAATATTATTGAAGCCTTTGCATCTATTGAGATAATCATGCGGTTATTAATATTATGGAAGTCTCTGCATCGATTGAGATAATCATCTAGTTTTTGTATTTAGTTTTGTTTATGTGATGAATTACATTTATTTATTTGCCTATGTTGAACCAACTTACATTCCAGGGATGAAGCCACCTTGATCATGGTGGATAAGCTTTTTGATGTGCTGCTGGATTGGGTTTGCCAGTATTTTATTGAGGAGTTTTGCATTAATGTTCATTAGGGATATTGGCCTGAAGTTTTCTTTTTTTGTTGTATCTCTGCCAGGTTTTGGTATCAGAATGGTCCTGGCCTCATAGAAGGAGTTAAGGAGGAGTCCCTTATTTTCAATTGTTTGAAATAGTTTCAGTACAAATGGTACCAGTTTCTTTTGTACCTCCCGTAGAATTCAGCTGTAAGTCCATCTGGCCCTGGGATTTTTTTTTTTTCTTGGTAGGCTATTTATTGCTGTTTCAATTTCAGAACTCATTATTGGTTTATTCTGGGATTCAGTTTATTCCTGGTTCAGTCTTCAAAGTGTGTATGCATCCAGGAATGTATCAATTTCTTCTATATTTTCTAGTTTATGTGCATAGAGTTGTTTATAATATTCTCTCATGATTGTTTGTATTTCTGTGGGGTCAAAGGTAATATCCCTGTTATCATTTCTGGTGATGTCTACTTGATTCTTCTCTTTTTTTAAATTAGTCTAGCTAGTGGTCTATTTTATTAAATTTTAAAAAAACAGCTCCTGGATTCATTGATTTTTTGGGGGGGGTTTCTCATGTCTCCATCTCTTTCAGTGCCATTCTGATTTTAGTTGTTTCTTGTCTTCTGCTAGCTTTAGTGTTTGTTTACCCTTGATTCTCTAGTTCTTTTAGTTGTGATGTTAGGTTGCCAATTTGAGACTTTTCTAGCTTTTTGATGGGGGCATTTAGTGCTTTACATTTTCCTTTTAATACCACATTAGCTGCATTCCAGAGATTCTGGTACATTGTCTCTTTGTTCTTATTGGTTTCAAAGAACTTGTTGATTTCTGTCTTCATTTCATTATTTACCCAAGAGTCATATAGGAGCAGATTGTTCAATTTATATGTAGTTGTGTGGTTTTGAGTGAGTTTTTTAATCTTGAATTCTAATGATTGTTCTGTGCTTTGAGAGACTGTTGTTATTTCTGTTATTTTGCATTTGCTGAGTGTTTAATTTCTGATTATATGATCAATTTTACAGTAAGTGCCACGTGGCAATGAGAATAATATATCTTCTTTTGTTTTGGGGTGGAGAGTTCTGTAGATATCTATCAGATCCACTTGATCCAGAGCTGAGTTCATGTTCTGAATATCTTTGTTAATTTTCTGTCTCAGTGATCTGTCTAATATTGTCAGTGGGTTGTTAACGTCTCCCACTATTGTGTGGGAGTCTACATCTTTTTGTAGGTCTCTAAGAACTTACTTTATAAATCTTCTGTATTAGGTTTATATATATTTATGATAGTTAGCTTTTCTTGATGAATTGAACCCTTTTCCATTATGTAATGCCCTTTTTCGTCTTTTGGGTCTTTGTCAGTTTAAAGTCTGTTTTGTCAGAAATGAGGGTTGCAACCCCTGCTTTTTTCTGTTTTCCATGTGCTTGGTAAATTTTTATTTTACTTTCATTTTGAGCCTATGTGTGTCTTTGCATGTGAGATGAGTCTCTTGAATACAGCATAACAATTGTGCTTGACTCTATCCAGCTTTAATTAGGGCATTTAGCTCATTTACATTTAAGGATGATATTCTTACTTGTGAATTTGATCCTGTCATGATGCTGCTAGCTGGCTATTTTTCAGACTTGTTTATACAGTTGCTTCATAGTGTCACTGCTCTGTGTACTTCAGTATGTTTTTGTAGTGGCTGGTAATGGTTTTTCCTTTCCATATTTAATACTTCCTTCAGGAGCACTTGCAAGGCAGCCATGGTGGTGATGAATTCCCTCAGCACTTGCTTGTCTGAAAAGGATCTTATTTCTCCTTTGCTTATGAAGTATAGTCTGGTCAAATGTGAAATTCTGGGTTGGAAATTCTTTTAAGAATGTTGAATACTGGCCCCCAATCTCTTCTGGCTTGTAGGGTTTCCACTAAGAGGTCCACTGTTAGTCTAATACGTTTCCCTTTGTAGGTGATATGGCCTTTCTCTCCAGCTGCCCTTAACATTTTTTTCTTTCATTTCTAACTTCGAGGATCTGATGATTATGTGTCTTGGGGTTGATCTTCTCATGGTTTATCTTACTGGAGTTCTCTGGATTTCCTGAATTTGAATGTTGGCCTATCTTGCTAGGTTGAGGAAGTTCTCCTTGATGATATCCTGAAGTATGTTTTCTAACTTGGTTCCACTTTCCCCTCTCTTTCAGGTACCCAAATCAGTTGTAGGTTCAACCTTTTTAAATAATCCCATATTTCTTGGAGGTTTTGTTAATTTCTTTTCATTCCTTTTTTCTCTATTCTTGTCTGCATGTGTTATTTCAGGAAGATAGTCTTCGAGCTCTGAGATTTCTTTTCCCTGCTTTGTCTATTCTGCTACTGATACGTGTGATTGCATTGTGAAGTTCTCATGTTGTGTTTTTCGGCCCCATCAGGTAAGTTATTCTTTTATCTAAACTGGCTAGTCTGGTTATCAGCTGCTGTATTGTTTTATCATGGTTCTTAGCTTCTTTGCATTGGGTTAGAACATGCTTCTCTAGCTCAGCAAAGTTCATTATTACCTACCTTCTGAAGCCTACTTCTGTCAATTCAGCCATCTCAGCCTCAGCCCAGTTCTGTGCCCTTGCTGGAGAGGTGTTGCAGTCATTTGGAGGAGAAGAGACACTCTGGCTTTTTGAATTTGCAGCATTTTTGCATTGATTCTTTCTCATCTTTGTGGCCTTGTCTACCTCCTATCTTTGAGGTTGCTGACTTTGAATGGGGTTTTTGTGGGGTCCTTTTCATTGATGTTGTTGTTGTTGCTTTCTGCATGTTTATTTTTCTTTTAACAGTCAGACACCTCTTCCATAGGGCTTCTGCAGTTTGCTGGGGGTCCACTCCAGATCTTAGTCACCCCAGTCCCTCCCCCATCTATATGTATCACCAGTAAAGACTGAAAAACAGCAAACATGTTTCCTGCTTCTTCCTCCTGGGAGCTGCATCCCAGCGGGGGCACTGACCTGAAGCTGGCCCAAATGCTAGTGTTGGAGGTGTCTGGAGACCCGTGTTGGGAAGTGTCACCCAGTCAGGAGAAACAGGATCAAGGACCTGCTTAAAGAAGCAGTCTGGCTTCCCCTTTGACAAACCAGCTGTGCCAGCCTTGGGGGAACCTCCCTTGTCCAAACCACCCAGACTCTCCAGAGCCAGAAGGCAGGAAAGGTTAAGTCAGCTGAACCACAGAGTTGGTGGCTGCCCATCTTCCCAGGGGGTCCATTCCAGAGAGAGCAGAGTTCTGTTTGTAAAACCCTGGCTGGAGTGCTGAAAATCCCATAGGGTGGCCCCACCTGGTGAGGAGAGATGGATTAGGGTCTCACTTAAATAAGAAGTCTGGTTACAATCTGCTACAGCAGCTGTGCTGCACTGTGGGGAATTACTCCTGGTCCAGACCTCCCAGACTCCCCAAAGCTGGCACACCAGAACGGCTGACTCAAGCCACAAAGATGGCAGCTGCCCCTCTCCCTGGGAACTCAGTCATCGCAGGCAGTCTCCAGTCTGCTACCGCTGGCCAGCTGATATTCCAAGAGAGTGGGTCTTAACTTATGGGGTGCCATGTGAACGGGGCCTGCAAAACAACGCTGCTTGGCTTCCTGGCTTCAGCCCCCTTCCTAGGGGAATGCACAGAGAGATCTGCCTCACCAGAATTCCCAGGGCTGGAGTAAGCAAAAACTCCTGGGTCTCCGTGCCTGCCCAAGCGGCTACAGAGTCCACACAGCTCTGTGCTTCAGACCCAAGGCACTGGTGGCATGCGCTCATGAGGGGGATCTTCTGATCTGTGGGTGGCAAAGATCTGTGTGAAAACCGTGGTTTCTTAAGTGGGGTTGCACAATCACTTGCCACCTCCCTTGGCTGGGGTTGGGGGCTCCTCTGGCTCTGTGCCACACCCAGGTGGGCTGTTGACCTATCCTGCTTTTTCTCACTTTCTGTGGGTCACGCAGACCACCTAGTCAGTCCAAATGTGAGAACCTGGATACCTCAGTTGAATGTGCAGAATTCACTCATTGTTTTCATTCTTCTTTGGGAGAGCCACGGACCTCAGCTGCTTCTAATTGGCCATCATGGACTGCCCACGTAATGTGTAGTCTTTTATCCTGCCTTCCCCCAGAGTTCCTAAAGCCCATTATATTTTATATAGCCATAATATATTATATTATATATATATAAACACTTTCTTTACCCACCCATTGATTGATGGACTTTTGGGCTGGTGCTATGTTTTTGAAATTGTGAATTGTGTGGCTATAAACATGCTTACGTAAGTATCTTTTTCATATAATGACTTCTTTTCCTCTGGGTAGATACCCAGTAGGGAGATCTCTGTATCAAATGGTAGTTCTTTTAGTTCTTTTTTCTTTTTTTTTTTTTTGAGATAGAGTCTCGCTCTGTCGCCCAGGCTGGAGTGCATCTGCGCTATCTCTGCTCACTGCAAGCTCCACCTCCCAGGTTCACACCATTCTCCTGCCTCAGCCTCCCGAGTAGCTGGGACTACAGGTGCCCGCCACCACACCCGGCTAATTTTTTTTTTTTTTTTTTGTATTTTCAGTAGAGACAGGGTTCACTGTGGTCTCAATCTCCTGACCTCGTGATCCGCCCACCTTGGCCTCCCAAAGTGCTGGGATTACAAGCGTGAGCCACCGCGCCCGGCTGGTTCTTTTAGTTCTTTAAGGAATCTCCATACTGTTTTCCATAGTAGTTGTACTAGTTAACTTTCTCACCATCAGTGTAAATTTGTTCTCTTTTCACCACATCCATGCACCAACATGTAATTTTTTTTTTATTTTTAAATTATGGCTATTCTTGCAGGAGTAAGGCAGTATCTCATTTTCTTTTCTTTTCTTTTTCTTTTTTTTCTTCTCTTTTTTTTTTTTTTTTTTTTGAGACAGAGTCTCGCTCTGTCACCCAGGCTGGAGTGCAGTGGTGCAATCTCGAGCTCACTGTAAACTCCACCTCCGGGGTTCACGCATTTCTCTTGCCTCAGCCTCCCGAGTAGCTGGGACTACAGGCGCCCGCCACCTCGCCCGGCTAATTTTCTGTATTTTTAGTAGAGACAGGGTTTCACCGTGTTAGCCAGGATGGTCTCAATCTCCTGACCTCGTGATCCACCCACCTCGGCCTCCCAAAGTGCCGGGATTACAGGCGTGAGCCACCGCGCCTGGCCCTCATTTTCATTTTAATTTCCTGGCACTATTTATTGAATGGATTGTATTTTCACCAGTGTATGTTTTTGGCACCTTTGCTGAAAATGAGCTCACTATATGTGTATAGATTTGTTTCTGGGTTCTCTAATCTGTTCCATTAATCTATGTATCTATTTTTATGCCAATAACATTCTGTTTTTATTACTATAGCTATGTAGCATAATTTGAAGTCCGGTAATGTGATTCCTCCAGTTTTTTTGTTTGTTTGTGTTTAGGTTTTTGTTGTTGATGTTTGTTTTGTTTTGCTTAGGATAGCTTGGGTCATTCTGGGTCTTTTGTGGTTTCATACAAATTTAATAATGTTTTTTCTATTTCTGTGAAGTGTATCATTGGTATTTGATTCAGGGATTTCACTGAATTTGTAGATTACTTTGGGTAGTATGGACATTTTGACAATATTGAGCCTTCTAATTCATGAATATGGAACATTTTTCCAACTTTTGGTGTCCTCTTCAATTTGGTTTATCGGTGTTTTATAGCTTTTATTATAGAGATCTGTCACTTATTTGGTAAAGTTAATTGCTGGGTATTTAAAATTATGTGTGGCTATTTTAAATGGTATTAATTATTATTTTTCATATTGCTCACTGTTGGCTTATAGAAATGCTACTGATTTTGTATGTTGATCTTATATCCTACAACTTTACTTATCAGTTATAATAGTGTTCTTGTGGTGTCTTTATGTTTTTCCAAATATAAGATCATCTGCAAATAAGGATAATTTGACATCTTCCTTTTCAATTTGGATGCTATTATAGATTTATCTTGGCTGATTGCTCTAGCTGGGACTTCCAGTATTATTTTGAATATCAGCGGTGACAGTGGACATTCTTGTAGTGTTACAGGTATTAAAGGAAAGGCTTTCAGTTTTTCCCCATTCAGTATGATACTAGCTATGGGTCTGTCATATATGGCTTTTATTATGTTGAGGTATGTTTCTTCTCTCCCCAGTATTTTTGAGGTCTTTTATCATGAATGGATGTTGAATTTATCAAATGCTTTTTGATAAATTTCAATTTCAGCATGAAATTATCATATGGTATTTATCCTTAATTTGTTGATATGATGTATCTCATTGATTGATTAGCATATGTTAACCCAACCTTGCATCCCAGGGATAAATCCCACTTCATCATGACAAATGATCTTTCTAATGTATTGTTGAATATGGTTTTCTCCTATTTTGTTGAGGACTTTTGCATCAATATTCATCAGAGATATTGGCCTGTAGTTTCCTTTCTTTTCTTTTCTTTTTTTTTATTTTTTTGATGTGCCTTTGTCTAGTTTTGGTATCAGGTAATACTGGCCTCATAGAACTAATTTGGAAGTATTCCCTCCATCTCTATTTTTCTATATAGTTTGAATAGGACTGGTATAGAATTTGGGAGTAAAATCATCAAGTCCTGGGATTTTCTTTACTGGCAGATTTTTATTACAGCTTTGAACTTGTAACTTGTTATTAGTCTATTCAGGTTTGGATTTCTTCCTGGTTCAGTCTAGGTTAGTTGTATGTATCTGGGAATTTCTCCATTTTTTCTAGTTTTCCAATTTATTGACATCTAGTTGCTCATAGTGACCACTTATGATCCTTTGAATTTCTGCAGTATTAGTTTTAATGTTTCCTTTTTTATTTCTGATTTAATTAATCTGGATCATCTCTCCTTTTTTCCTAGTCTGGCTACAGATTTGTCAATTTCGTTTGACTTTTCAAAAAAAAACGTTTTGTTTAACTGATCTTTTGTATTGTTTTCTTTATTTCAGTTTCATTTATTTCTGCTCTGATCTTTATTTATTTATTTATTTTACTAATTTGGGGTTTGGTTTGTTCTTTATTTTCTAGTCCTTTAAGACTAGTTGTTAAGATTGTTTAATTGCAGTATTTTCTCTGTTTTGATGTACACACTTACAGATATAAAATTCCACCTTAGTCCTGCTGATATGGTTTGGCTGTGTCCCCATCCAAATCTCAACTTGAATTGTACCTCCCAGAATTCCCACGTGTTGTGGGAGAGACCCAGGGGGTAGGTAATTGAATCATTGGGGCATTTCCCTTGCTATTCTCATGATAGCTAATAAGTCTCATGAGATCTGACAGGATTATCAGAGGTTTCAACTTTTACTTCTTCCTCATTTTTCTCTGGCCACCACCATGTAAGAAGTGCCTTTCACCTCCCACCATGATTCTGAGGCCTCCCAAGTCATGTGGAAGTTTAAGTCCAATTAAACCTCTTTTTGTTCCCAGTTTCATGTATGTCTTTATCAGCAGCATGAAAACAAACTAATACAGTAAATTGGTACCAGTAGAGTGGGACGTTGCTGAAAAGATACCAAAAAATGTGAAAACGACTTTGGAACTGGGTAACAGTCATAGGTTGGAACAGTTTGGAGGGCTCAGAAGACGGGAAAATGTGGGAAAGTTTGGAACCTCCTAGTGACTTGTTGAATGGCTTTGACAAAAATGCTGATAGTGAAATTAACAATAAAGTCCAGGCTGAGGAACTTGTTGGGAACTGGAGCAAAGGTGACTCTTGTTGTGTTTTATCAAAGAGACTAGTGGCATTTTGCCCCTGCCCTAGAGATTTGTGGAACTTTGGACTTGAGAGAGATAATTTAGGGTATCTGGTGGAAGAAATTTCTAAGCAGCAGAGCATTCGAAAGGTGACTGTTAAAAGCATTCCATTTTAAAAAGGAAACAGAGCATATAATTCAGAAAATTTGCAGCCTGATGATGCAGTAGAAAAGAAAAACCCATTTTTTTAGGAGAAATTTAAGCCGGCTGCAGAAATATGCATAAGTAGCAATGAGACTAATGTTAATCCCCAAGACCATGGGGAAAATGTCTCCAGGAAATGTCAGAGACCTTCACAGCAGCCCCTTACCTCACAGGCCCTGAGTCCCAGGAGAAAAAAAGTAGTTTCATGGGCTGGGCCCAGAGTCTCCATGCTGTGTGCAGCCTAGCAACTTGATGCCCTGTGTTCCAGCTGCTCCAGCCATGGCTGAAAGGGGCCAATGTACAGCTTGGGCCATGGCTTCAGAGGGTAGCTTCCATGTGGTGTTGAGTCTCCTGGTGCACAGAAGTCAAGAATTGAGGTTTGGGGACCTCCGCCTAGATTTCAGAAGATTTATGGAAACACCTGGATGCTCAGGCAAAAGTTTGCTGCAGCGGTGGGGCCCTCATGGAGAACCTCTGCCAGGGCAGTATGGAAGGGAAATGTGGAGTCGGAGCCTCAACACAGAGTTCTACTGGGGTACTGCCTAGTGGAGCTGTGAGAAGAGGGCCACCATCGTCCGGAAACCAGAATGATAGATCCACTGACAGTTTGCACTGTGTGCCTGGAAAAGCCGCAGACAGTAAATGCCATCCCAAGAAAGCATCAGGAAGGAAGGCTGTACCCTGCAAAGCCACAGAGGTGGAGCTGCCCAAGACCTTGGGAATCCACATCTTGCCTCAGTGTGACCTGGATGCGAGACCTGGAGTCAAAAGAAATCATTTTGGATCCTTAAAATTTGACTGATCCACTGGATTTTGGACTTGTATGGGCCCTCTAACCCTTTTGTTTTGTTCAATTTCTCCCATTTGGAATGGCTGCATTTGCCCAATACCTGTACCCCCATTGTATCCAGGAAGTAACTAGCTTGCTTTGGATTTTACAGGCTCATAGGCAGACGGGACTTGCCTTGTTTCAGATGAAACTTTGGATTGTGGACTCTTGGGTTAATGCTGAAATGAGTTAAGACTTTGGGGGACTGTTGGGAAGGCATGAATGGTTTTGAAATGTGAGGACATGAGATTTGGAGGGGCCAGGAGCAGAATGATATGGTTTGACTGTGTCCCCATCCAAATATCAACTTAAATTGTATCTCCCAGAATTTCCAAGTGTTGTAGGAGGGACCCAGGGGGAGGTAATTGAATTATGGGGGCTGGTCTTTCCCATGCTATTCTTATGATAATAAGTCTCATGAGATCTGACGGGTTTATCAGGGGTTTCCGCTTTTGCTTCTTCCTCATTTTTCTCTTGCCGCTGCCATGTAAGAAGTGCCTTTCACCTCCTGCCATGATTCTGAGGCCTCTCCAGCCATGTGAAACTTTAATTCCAATTAAACTTCTTTTTGTTACCAGTTTCAGGTATGTCTTTATCAACAGCATGAAAATAAACTAACACAACTGCTTTTGCTGTACTCCATAGATTTGGTATGTTGTGTTTCTATTATCATTTGCTTCCAGAAATTTTTCAATTTCTTTTGTAATTTCTTCATTGACCCACTGGTCATTAAGGAGCATATTATTTTATTTTTATGTTTGCATTATATAATTTCCAAAATTACTCTTGTCATTGGTTTCTAGTTTTCTTCCATTGTTATCAGAGACTATGCCTGATATTATTTCAATTTTTTGAATGTTTTAAGACTTGTTTTATTACCTAGCATACGTTCTGCCCTTGAGAATGATCCCTGTGCTGAGTAAAAGAATGTGTATTTTCCAGCTCTTGGATGAAATGTTCTGCAAATATCTATTAGATCCATTTGTTATATAGTGCAGATTAAGTCTGATGTTTCTTTTCTGATTTTCTGTAAGGAAGATGTGTCCAGTGATGAAAGCGGGGCATTGAAGTCTCCAGCTCTGATTGTCTTAGGACCTATCTCTGTCTTTAGCTCTAATAATTATATTTCTGGGTCCTCTGGTGTTGGAGGCATATATATTTAATATTTTGTCTGACATAATAATAGTTATTTCTTCTTTTTTGGTTTTCATTGGGAGGTCAAGTTGGGCAGATCACTTGAGACAATCTTTTGGAATATCTTTTTCCATCCCTTTATTCTCAGTCTAAGTGTGTCTTTATAGGTGAAATGTGTTTTTGTAGCCAACAAATCAATGGGTCTTCTTTTTTCATCCATTCAGCATGTCTATGTCTTTTGATTTGAGAGCTTAGTCCATTTACATTTAATGTTATTATTGATAAGTAAGGGCTTACTCCTGCCATATTATTATTTGTTTTCTGGTTGTTTTGTGGTATTCTCTTTCTTCTTTCTTGTCTTCTCTGTCTTCATCTAGTGACTTTCTCTGGTGATATAATTTAGTTTCTTGCTTTTTATTGTTTGTGTGTTTATTGTGTGTTTTCTGGTTTGTATTATCATGAGGCTTGAAAATATTATCTTATAAGCCATTATTGTATCCTGCTAACAATGTAACATTATTTGCATAAACATACAAACAAGCAAAAAGAAAACTAATAAAATTATATGCCTTAACTTTGTCCCCCCTCCACTTTTTAACTACCTGTTGTTCTATTTATATCTTATTGTACTGACTATGTCTTGAAATGTCACCTCAGTTATTACTTTTTATTGGTTCATTGTTTAGTCTTTCTACTTAGCATAAGAGTAGTTTACATTCCTCAGTTACAGTGTTCTAATATTCTGTGTTTTTCTGTGTACTTACTACCAGTGAGTTTTACACCTTCAGGTGATTACTTATTGCACATTAATGTCCTTTTCTTTCTTTCTTTTTTATTTTATTTTATTATTATTTTTTTGACACAGAGTCTCATTCTGTTGCCCAGGCTGGAGTGCAGTGGCACAATCTTGGCTCACTGCAGCCTCCACCTCCTGGGTTCAAGTGATTTTCCTGCCTCAGCCTCCCGGGTAGGTGGGATTACAGGCATGCACCACCGTGCTTGGCTAATTTTTTGTATTTTTAGTAGAGATGGGGTTTCACCATGTGGACCAATCTTGGCCTCCCAATGTCCTGGGATTACAGGTATAAGCCTCTGTGTCTGGCCAGTGTCTTTTTCTTTCTGATTGTAATATTCCCTTTACCATTTCTTGTAGTTCAGGTCTAGTGTTGATGAAATCCCTCAGCTTTTGTTTATCTGGTAAAATCTTTATTTCTTCTTCTTATGAGTTTGAAGGATATTATTGCCAGACATACTGTTCTAGGGTACATTTTTTTTTTCATTCAGCACTTTAACTATGTCGTGCCACTCTCTCCTGACCTGTAAGGTTTCCACTGAAAAGTCTGCTGCCAGATGTATTGGGGCTCCATTGTGTTTGTTTCTTGTCTCTTGCTCCTTATAGGACTGTTTCCTAATTTTTGACCTTTGGGAGTGTGTTATTAAATGCCTTGAGGTTGTCTTCTTTGGGTTAAATCTGCTTTGTGTTCTGTAATGTTCCTGTGCTTGGATACTGATATCTTTCTCCAGGTGTAGGAAGTTTTCTGTTATTATCCCTTCGAATAAACTTTCTACCCCTGTCTCTTTACCTCCTCTTTAATGCTAGTAACTCTTAGATTTGCTCTTTGAGGTTATTTTCTAGATCCCGTAGGCATTCTTCATTTTTTAAATTCTTTTTTCATTTGTGTGTTCTGAGCCTATCTTCAAGCTCACTAATTCTTTATTCTGCTTTATCGATTCTGCTATTAAAATATATTGATACATTCTTCCGTATGCCAATTGCATTTTTCAGCTACAGAATTTATATTTGAGCCTTTTTTTTTTTGCGGGGGGAGACAGAGTCTCGCTCTGTCGCCCAGGCTGGAGTGTAGTGGCGTGATATCGGCTCACTGCAAGCTCCACCTCCTGGGTTCACGCCATTCTCCTGCTTCAGCCTCCCAAGTAGCTGGGACTACAGGTGCCCACTACCATACCCAGCTAATTTTTTGTATTTTTAGTAGAGACGGGATTTCACTGTGTTAGCCAGGATGGTCTCATCTCCTGACCTCATGACCCGCCCTCCTCGGCCTCCCAAAGTGCTGGGATTACAGGCGTGAATATTAGAGCCTTTTTAATTATTTCGATATCTTGGTTAAATTTATCTGATAGAATTCTGAATTCCTTCTCTGTGTTATCTTGAATTTCTTTGAGTTTCCTCAACACAGCTCCTTTGAATTCTCTGCCTGAAGCATCACAAATCTCTGTTTCTCTAAGATTGATTCCTGTTGCCTTACTTAGTTCGTTTAATGAGGTAATGCTTTCCCAGATGGTGTTTATGCCAGTAGATGTTCTTTGGTGTCTGGGCATTGAAGAGTTCTGTATTTATGATAGTTTTCACTGTCTGAGCTTATTTGTAGCCATCTTCCTTGGGAAGGCTTTCCAAATGTTTGAGTGATTGGGTGTTGTGATCTAACCTGTGTCCCCTTTAGGGGGCACCCAAAGTCCAGTAACATTATGATTCTTCCAGACTCATAGAGGTACTGCCTTGATGGTCTTGGACAAGATCTAGGAGAATTTTCTGGATTACCAGGCAGAGACTCTTATTCTCTTCCCTTACTTTCTGCCAAACAAACAGAGTCTTTCTGTCTGTTCTGAGCCACCTAAAGCTGAAGGTGGAGTGACACAAGAACCCCTGTTGACACCATTGCTATGACTGTGCTGGGTCAGACCTGAAGCCAGAACAGTGCTGGGTCTCACTGAAGGCTTGCTGGAACCACTCTCTAGCTACTGCCTATGTTCACTCAAGACCCCAGGGCTTTACAATCAGCCAATGGCAAAGCCAGCCAGGCCTGTGTTTTTCCCTTCAGGGTGTCAAGATTCCCCAGGTCCCACATGGGTCCAGATGTGCTGTCCAGGGGTCAGGGACTATAGTCAAAAGCCTTAGAAGTCTACCTGGTGTTCTACTGTATTGCATCTGAGCTGGCACTCAAATCACAGTTCTTCCCACTCTTCCCTCTCCTTTCCAAAGGCAGAGGAGTCTCACCCTGTAACCACTGCCACCTCAGGCCGTGAAGTGTACTGCCAGACTTCCAACCAATGTTCCCTTAAGTCCCAAAGGCTCTTAAGTCATCTTGTGATAAATGCTGTCTGGCCTGGGACTCTCCTTTCAGAGAAGTGGGCTCCTTTCTGACCCAGGTTAAGGCCATAAATGCTATCTAAGAGTCATGTCCTGGAATTGGGAACTTCCAAAGCCCGCTTGGTGCTCTGCTCCTCTGTGGCCATGCTGTTACCTAAGGTGCCAGATAAAGTCCCCTTTTCTTTTCCCTCTTCTTTTCTCAAGAAGGAGTTTTGCCCCATAGGTACCACAGCTGATATTGTTCTGAGTCTCACCTGAAGCCAGCAAGCCTCAGAGGTTCACCCAAGACCTTTGATGTAGTTCCTTGGTATCACTGCTGGTTACTCAGTGCCCAAGGGCTCTCCAGTTGGCAGGTGATGAATGTTATTAGGAATGGGTCTTTTCCTTCAAGGAAGCAGGTTCTTTTCTGGCCCAGCGTGTGCCTAGAAATGTTATCTGGGAACTACGGCCTGAACAGAGCCCTCACAACTCTGTCTTGTGCCCTATCCTGCTTTGTTTGAGCTGGTATCCAAGATGCAAGACAGAGTCCTCCCCGCTCTTCCCTCTCCTCTCCTCAAGCAGAAGGAAGGGATCTCTTTTGGAGCCAAAAGTTGTGTAGCCTGGGGTTAGAAAAGAGGTGATGCCAGCATGCCCTTGACCCTGCCACAGCTGGTGTATCAGTAGGTCATGTGCCTACCCAGTCCACTGTCTCTGGGCCCAGTTCAGCCCTAAGACTTGCCTAAGAGTCGCAGTCCTTATGGCCTAGACTGCCTTTCAAGTTTACTTGGAGATAGAGAGTGCTGCAGCCCATGGTGGTAAGGTTTGTGGGAACTCAAGTTTGGGTCCTTAAGCTGGGTTGGGTGATTCTCCTCTGGCTAGGGCTACTTTAAATTCATTCTCCAAGGGCAGGCATCAGCTGAGTTTGGTCTGGTTTTCCTTTCTGCTCTAACAGGACGGCACTGAGTTCAAGCCTCACAATTGCTGTATTCTCCCTCCCTTAGTGCCCAGAAAAGCTCTCCACACCATGCAGCTGCTGCTGCTGCCAGTGGTGGGAGGTTAGGTGGTATTGGTGATTCAGTACTTTTTTTTTTTTATCTCTTCAGTGCCTCTTTCAGAAATATGAAGTTAAAACTAGTGCTATGAGTGCTTACTTGGTTTTTGGTTGTCATGAAGGTGCTTTTTCTGTGTAGATGCTTGCTAACTGGGTGTTTGTTGGGAGTGGGAGACGATCAATGGAGCCTTCTCTTCCACCATCTTTCTCTGTCTTCTCTATTCTGTGAGAGTTTAAATGTCATATCTGTTTTTGACATTCAAATATCTGTAATTTTATTTTGCTTTGTAAACACGTGGTCACAAACCAGACAAATAAAGATTAAAGCTATAATTATTTAAAACCTTTTAGATTGGACTTCTAACTTCTGTTATAAATCTATCACCTAAAGCGTCTTTGTTACCCAACGTATGCCTTGAAGACCAGCAGCATCAAAATTGCCTGTGAATATCATAGAAATGAAAAGTCTCAGTCTCCTCCCATATGAACAGTATCATAATCTGTATTTTAACAAGGTACCAAGTGATTTACGTGCCCACAAAAGTTTCATGTAACAGAAAGAACAACAAACTGGGATTTAAGCCTAGCTCTGCTCCTTTGGCTTTCCTGTCTGTTTCTCCACCTATAAAGAGCAATAATTCTGAAATGACTACCTCAGAGTTAATATACAAATGGTATTAGCATTTATGTGAAAGTATTATGAAATTGAAGACATTAAGATAGCTTAAAACAATATGGTTGTTGATCTTCTTAGGAAAAGATTCAAGGGTGGAAATGTAAAAGGGGAAAACAGATGAGAAGGTGAGTAATGCAATGAATGCTTACCAAAGAAGTTATCCTGGATTATCCCAGTGGGCCCTAAATCCAATGACAAGTGTTCTTATGAGAACAAGGCAGAGGGATATTAGACCTAAGAGGAAAAGGCAATTTGACCAAGGAGGCAATGATCGCTGTGATGCAGCCATGAATAAAAGAAAGCCTATCACCCTCAGAAGCTGGAGAAAGCAACAAATGAATTCTCCTTGAGAGGCTCCTGAGGAAGCACAACCCTGATGACACCTTAATTTTGGACTTCTGGCATCCAAAACTGAGAGAAAAATAAATGTCTTTTGTTTTAAGCCACTAAGTTTGTGAGAATTTGTTACAGCGGCCCATAAAGGTGGGGAAAAAGGAAGAAAGGCATCTATGTCAAAGAAGAAAGCATGAACTCACATTCTGTGCACTTTGCAAACAAATGGTAGCTCTTTGTCCAATAGAAAACAATAATGCTGAAGATAATAATAGGAACAACTAATAATAATAATGAGCTTAACACACTTTAAAGTATTTTTAAACCTTTTAAATGATTTGAAGATGCAGAATCTCAATCATTTTCTCTTTGTATATGTCAGTAAATTGACACTGAAGCTAGTTACCTCTACCCAATCCAAAAATTCTGTAGATAGTTAACTGGGGGGAGGGGAAAGCCAAACAATGCTTAGTGACATATTAAAAAAAAAAAAAAAAAAACAAAGCTAGCCAAACAAACACAAGTAAACTAACCAACGTGTCTCGGTGTATTAGTTTCCTAGGGCTGCCATTCTCAAGTTATTTTATACGCTTGCATTTTACCGTGCTTTCTCTGTATTTCCTTTGCTAATGAATTCTCTCTTCCTTTCATCCCACTTGCCCCCTCCTAACTCCTATTCATGCTTTATTTATCAGCCTAAATAAAATCTCTTCTAGGAAGCCTTCCTTGAGCCATTGATCTCTCATCTACCACCCTAACCAATCCCACCTCCCAGTCACTCGCCCACTAACGTACATAAACACACAGAGTAGGATGCTTTTATGCTGTGGACACACTGCATTCATCACAGCATATTAATAACTCGGTAGAATGTGAACACACTGCATTCCTGACAGCATATTATTAATAAATCTGTAGAGTGCATGTTTACTTGCCTTCTTCCCTCTATGGACTTTATCCCCATCATGAGTAGAACATAGCAGGGGTGAAAAAGGTATTTTAAGATAAATGAATGCATGAATAACCTTTAAAAATACCAACTACCACTTATAAAGTGTTTTCTGTCTGCCAGACACTGTTCTAAGTGCTTTATGTGTATTAATGTATATCCTTATAAATGACCTATGTTACATACTATCGATGTTCCCATTTTATAGATCAATAAACTGAGGCAAAAAAAAATTTAGAGCAAAGTAACATAGGAAGTAAACGGTAGAACCAAGTATTTGCATCCATGCATTCCCACTGCAGACTCCAGGTTCTTAACCATTATTTTAAAAACATAATAGCTAACACAGAATTTATCACACACCAGACATTCTTTTAACTCATCTACATATGTTGATACATTTAATCTCAACACATTCATTCAACAAGCGAATGATACGGGCATAACTAGCACCAATAGTACCTGCATGGCTAAAACTTGGGGGCATGAAAAAAGACCTGTTTCCGCCAGAGAACTATTTGTTGTTTAACTAATAAAAGGCAATGCTATCAATTCACATTTGTGAATCAATTGTATTCAAAGCACTTACACACATAAGGTAACCTCTTTTTTCTCTGGGGCACAATAATTTAAAATAATAACATTAGCAACATTACTTTCCAGTTTTATTTTACATTTTAAATCTTACGTTGTGTGAAGTTGTGCCCAATTTCAGCCTGCCACAGGATTCCAAGGTAACAACTTGCAAAGCAGCCCTTTAATCACTAGAATTAGTGTTTCAGTGGATTTTTATATGGCAGGTATAGCATGAGTAATGACCCTGTATAACTCAGTAAGATATGATGATGAAAACTTAAGAGCTTCATGTTGAAAGAGTCCCGACTGGAAGTTAAGAGAGCTAGCTTCAACCTCGGACACTAACTGGAAGACAACTTTCCCTGGACCTCAGTTTTTGCATCAGTGAAATTACACGGGGAATGAGGGTTTATGTGAGCTCTTTATAACTCTAGATGCCTAATTCTGTAAAGCCACAAACTACTCATGAAATGTAATCTAATTATTTTATAATATCACTTCCAGCCAGCTTGGCAAAACTAATAAATTGTGGCTCTCTTTTCCTGGCTGGTGAGACATATAAGATAAAAACATGAGCATTATTTACCCAGGATCACAGATTTGACTAGTAATGAGGACTCTGTCTCTAAAAATCATAGCATTGAATAGAAACTCCTTTGAGAATATCAATAGTATGCCATGTGTGAGCAGGAAATTACCATCGTGATACCAGTAGATAGCATGTTAACAGAGTATTAATTATGAAGCAGTGCTAACTGAATAATACATGGCAGTTATTAAGAGGAGATTTTCAAGGGTCGATATGCTATGACTCAACTGCCAGTCAGTAATGAGATAATACACTACAGAGCCCAGGTACAAAGAATTGCTGGTGCCAGTGATAAGGATGCGTGATAGCTATCTGGAACTAAAAATCATGGTCTATACATGGTATGAGCTAAGATTTATAAATCTTCCGGCAGAAAGAGCTATCCAAGCAGTTATAAACCACACATCTGGTAAGCTGTTTTTATGGATCTTGAGTGCAGAGCTAATGAGGCCAGGATAAAACCTCAGTAGGAAGTCATTTTATAAGATTGCCTCTTTCCTTTTCAGGCATTGTGTAGAATAATAGTAAATATCAAATTGCAACAGAATTACTAAATAAGTAAAGAATAGCTTAGCTACCTCTTGAGTGAAGGAGACAATAGAAAAAAAAATAAAGGGACAAAAGAATCTGTTTTTAGAGCTTCTTACAAGAAAATATCGTTTTAATAAATGTTATTGAGTATGAAGAAGTCAGTCATGTCATAAATTCAGGAAGCATCAGATTTACCAAGCATTTATTTTTAGCTTTAGCAAGAGTAAAGAGAATGCATTAAAATATTACCATGGCAAAACATGAAGCTAAAAGTGATATCACAGTCACATGATTTATTTTCAACAAAAAAAATTGCATTAACATTGACTTATAGTATTTCCTTGAAATATAAGACATCTCTCTCTTTTTAGTTAAAGGTCATTTAACCAGCAAGGCAATGGCCTTGTAAAAAAAATTCCTGATAATGCTATTAAGAAACTAACCTTCTAGCGTGGATGGAGGACAGGAACCAGAAATAGGAGTTCCAAGTTAACAGACATAAATAAACAAAAATATAAAAGATTCTGAAAAATATTTTAATTGTTATGTTTTCTTTATTAGGCTATTTTTTTTTTCATGGTCTCAGTAGTCACTAAAGGCATTCACAGAGAGCATTCTTCTTGATAAAGGAAAATAAATTCAAACAAAAGACTGCACTAGATGTAGAACCCAAGTCTTTTCGAAATGAAAGGGGCCTTAAAGATCTTCCAGTAACTCCTGGAAAATTTTCCAAAGGAACAATTTTGTTTCTCAGAGCAGCCTACTCTCTAACATATTCCAGCTGTCCAGTTAGGTAAGCCAGTGCAATCAGGGAGAACACAGATGAACAAGATAAACAACAACAAAAAGATCACTTGGAAAAAAAAGGGTTACTGTCAAGTAATTCAAACTTTGTAATATGAAAGTGTCAGTGTGGTAAAACTGCTGATAAAATAGCCTGCAGCCATTTTTCCAAAACAGAAAGATGGCACTAATATTGTTTTTCTTTTATTTTAAATTTCATTATTATAATACTTTAAGTTTTAGTGTACATGTGCACAACGTGCAGGTTTGTTACATATGTATACATGTGCCATGTTGGTGTGCTGCACCCATTAAATCGTCATTTAGCATTAAGTATATCTCCTAATGCTAGTACTCCCCCCTCCCCCCACCCCATAAGCAGACCAACCATGCTTGTTTACTACAGGATTTCTACAGCCATCATTTAGAAAGGCATAGAAGCAGTATTTCTGAGCTACTGAACAGTAATACAATGCACAAATTTTACAGTGGATAAGCCAGCCTACAAAAGGGAAGAAATGTATTTCATGAAATCTCTCTCCTGTCGATGTATAACATCCACAGAAACAAAGATGGATCAAGGTAGCCCACATACTAACCATGACTGAAAATGTACTCTTGCCCCTTGGAATAAGCTTTTAATTCCTATCTTTGCCCTTCACTCTTTTCTATGATGCTCTGTTCATTGTCCTGCTTCCACCTTCTTTTAGCATTCTTTTTTGCCCCAATAACAGAAAAAACAAAACTATGTAAAAGATAAAATGTCTTCAATTTCTTACTGTAATAATGCACCCAAACACTCTCTTCCTTCTCCCCACCAACATGCATATGCAAACACACACACGGAGAGAGAGAGGTTGAGAGAGAGAGAGAGAGAGAGAGACAGAGAGATCCACTGAGAATTATTTCTAGGACTGAATGTCCTAGAAGGCAGATGTATCTCTATGTTCTGTTTTGTTTAGCTATATGTGGTACTTACTACAGAGGTGTAACTACCATATATATTTAAAAAGCAAATGGTAAATTAATTTTACAAATACAGCATACTTCCTGTGATCCAGAGCCACCCATTAAAGTTCAGATATGGAGAATAGAAACAACATTTAGCAAGAACCCTCCCTTATAAACACACATGTGACACCCACTGATGTTGACATGAGCTGTGAATACACATCTAAAAAGAAGATTTGGTTTACAGTAACCAATGCTACAGTTAATGAAAAGAGCATTTTTGTAGGATTGCAAAATTTCACATATCACACCTGTACATGGATTACCTGCCTCCAAAATAAACATCTTCATAAGAAGCAGGGTACATCTGAGTGGCTCTAGCATCTTAACTAAATTAAGACCAAAATGGCACCTTTACACAAGGACACAGTATTCTAAAACTCCAAATGAAAACCTTTCTTTAGGAAGTGGAAATCAGCTGCAATTAAGAGATGACACACTCAAAAATGGCGTATGAGAACTGGCAGGTAAAAGGCTTTCCATGAAACAATTTGAGTGTACATTGAGTCTGTACAGTCAATCCCTTGTTATCCATATCAGTCAAAGGGGGTGATCACACAGAAAATTCATAATTGTGGATACTGAAAAACACAATATTTGGTTTTATATGTCTCAAGCTAGATTCAAATGGGAGAAAAATCTGGAATACATTTGTGAATCCACTGTGAAGAATCTGATTCTCTCTTTCTTGTAGTAATCAAATTGGAAAAGCCACTCAGCCTCCAAATTCTGCTTTCACTCTTTCCAAACCATATGGGAAATTATTACCCAGACGGATACAAAGTAGCCCTGGAAAGCCAAATATACAAACTTGCTTTTTTTTTTTTTTTTTTTTCTGGCAACTCTCTTATAGCAAAAAGCTAAATGCTTTATCCAAAAAGCACTTTATTTCAGGTTTCTCTCTGTCTGGCTAGAATGGGGAAAAGAAAGTTATTTATATAAGCTATTATAGTACATAATTACACAGGTAACAAAAGAAAAAAAATCAATAAGATTTTGAAAGGAATACGTTCTTACCCTAAACCGAATGGAAACAAAAACAACATAGAAGGTATTAATTCAAAATCAGGCAGACCAACAAAAGTCATTGTTAAAAGAAACCATAGATTTATATAACCTAAACCCTTCATTTTATGGATGAAGAAATTAACAACCAGTGAATTGAAATCTTTACTTCAGTTGTGGTCTGTGGGCCAAGCCTAAGCATCACCTGGGAGGTTATTAGAACTGCACAATTTCAGGCCTCACTTCAGACCCACAAAATTAGAATCTGCATTTTAACAAAATCTCCACCCCAGATAATTTCTATGTACATTGAGGTTTAAGAAGTACTTGTTAAATTACTTCTCCAAGTTATCATTAATCATTTACCATGCATATGTTACTCAGTGGTAGTAGTCAAATGTGTCAAGAAACCTTTCTTTGAGTAAGAGTAATTCAAGCATACTTCCCTCTGTCACAGTGAACAAACTATTTCCATAAGCTAAATTAATTATTTTTGAATTCTGCATCACTTCTTCAGGCCTTTTACCCAAGTTATCAAATTACTATTTTAGTGCAAATAGGCATTGCCAGAGAATAATTTTGGCATTTGAAGAATCTAGTTTATTCCATGATAAATTCTACAATTCCTTATTTCCTTATGATCCCTGACTAGGAACCAGGTTATTCTGTATAGAATAACCTGGAACCAGGTCCTCGCTTATTCCATTTATTTGTCCACTCTAAAGCCAGGCATAAAGAAGCACAGTATATATTTATTCAATCAGTTGTTGGAAGGCAAGCAAAGAACCAAGTTCTTTGTGGTCAGTAGCATTTGTGTTAATATTCCTTCAAGAAAAATTACTAGACCATTTTCAAGTCCATTTTTAGTGCACTCTCTTTTATTGGTGGTCAGAAACTGCTTCTTGCTCTCCACTTCAAACTCCTCAGCCATATAGTTAGGCTTGTCTCTACAGCCAATTGAGCCTATCCTATACTCTAAACAGGTGGCTCTCAACCTGAGGTGATTTGGCCCCACAGGGGACATTTTGCACTGTCTAGAGATATTTTTGGATATTACAACTGTAAGGTGGTGAGTGCTACTGGCATCTACGGAGTAGAGGCCAGAGATGCTGCTAAATATACTACCCAGGCAGCCTTCCACAACAAGGAATTAATTATCCAATCCAAAATGCCGATAGTGCTAATGTTGAGAAACCCTTGCCTAAACCCATTCCCAAACTTTTGTAGTCCTTTATCCTCCTCAGGTTCAGCTATTGCCTTCTATCTGCTGGCTGAGCCATGTCCCAGTTATTCAGATTAATCTCATCTTTAGATAAAAGAGATCCAATCCTGGCTTGATGCCCTGATCACTGTGTTTCTGCTTCATTCTCAAAATCTAGGCTCTACATTTTGTCTCCATAGTTTTGAGTAACTCAAAGGCTACAAGCTTATGTCACTCTTGCTCAGTGTCTTCCTAGGTCTTGTTCTCTAATATCACATGACTGGTCTTAATATTAGCTATGAGACTTGCCTTACTATTTCCTTCTTTTAGATTTCCCAATTTTGTTCTCCAACTTTCTGTAGGGTTACCTGCTTATCCCTGGATTTGACACCGTCATTAAACTGAAAACCCCATTTGAGTAAGCATTCATCATAAAAATCCTGTCAGCTCTTCTCTTGGAAATGGTTCTTTGTCATAAATACTGTGGTAACACAGAGTGTTATAAATTTTATGAGAATAAATACAATATCTTTATTAATATATCAGCTTCTTTTTAAAATGATGTAGAAGAAAGTAAATGCAGCACTTAGAAAATGTAGATTGGCTTTCATTCACTATCTGACATTTTCCAGATCAGCATTTCAGTTTTAAAAAATATATAATGACAAATAATTACTTTGGTATTTCAATTCAGTTGTAACTAAAGGGTAATTTTAGAAAGAAGAAATGGTAAGCATAAGCCAAAAAATGAACCAAAGGGTAATAAATAAACCAAACCCCTAAAATTCATTATCAAAAAGAGCTACAACATTTTCACATTCTCAGAAAAAAAATGATTATATAGAGATTATCTTTGAATTCAAGCACTTACAGTTTTATTTGAAAGTCACGGGGAGGAGCCAAGATGGCCGAATAGGAACAGCTCCGGTCTACAGCTCCCAGCCTGAGCGACGCAGAAGACGGGTGATTTCTTCATTTCCACCTGAGGTACCGGGTTCATCTCACTAGGGAGTGCCAGACAGTGGGCGCAGGTCAGTGGGTGCACGCACCGTGCGCGAGCCAAAGCAGGGCGAGGCATTGCCTCACTCGGGAAGTGCAAGGGGTCAGGGAGTTCCCTTTCCTAGTCAAATAAAGGGGTGACGGACGGCACCTGGAAAATCGGGTCACTCCCACCCGAATACTGCGCATTTCTGACAGGCTTAAAAAACGGCGCACCACGAGATTATATCCCACATCTGGCTCGGGGGGTCCAACGCCCACGGAGTCTCGCTGATTGCTAGCACAGCGGTCTGAGATCAAACTGCAAGGCAGCAGCGAGGCTGGGGGAGGGGCGCCCGCCATTGCCCAGGCTTCCTTAGGTAAACGAAGCAGCCCTGAAGCTCCAACTGGGTGGAGCCCACCACAGCTCAAGGAGGCTTGCCTGCCTCTGTAGGCTCCACCTCTGGGGGCAGGGCACAGACAAACAAAAAGACAGCAGTAACCTCTGCAGACTTAAATGTCCCTGTCTGACAGCTTTGAAGAGAGCAGTGGTTCTCCCAGCACGCAGCTGGAGATCTGAGAATGGGCAGACTGCCTCCTCAAGTGGGTCCCTGACCCCTGACCCGCGAGCAGCCTAACTGGGAGGCACCCCCCAGCAGGGGCACACTGACACCTCACACTGCAGGGTACTCCAACAGACCTGCAGCTGAGGGTCCTGTCTGTTAGAAGGAAAACTAACAAACAGAAAGGACATCCACACCAAAAACCCATCTGTACATCACCATCATCAAAGACCAAAAGTAAAAGCACAAAGATGGGGAAAAAACAGAACAGAAAAACTGGAAACTTTAAAAAGCACAGCGCCTCTCCTCCTCCAAAGGAACGCAGTTCCTCACCAGCAATGGAACAAAGCTGGATGGAGAATGACTTTGACGAGCTGAGAGAAGGCGGCTTCAGACGATCAAATTACTCTGAGCTACGGGAGGACATTCAAACCAAAGGCAAAGAAGTTGAAAACTTTGAAAAAAATTTAGAAGAATGTATAACTAGAATAACCAATATAGAGAAGTGCTTAAAGGAGCTGATGGAGCTGAAAACCAAGGCTCGAGAAATACGTGAAGAATGCAGAAGCCTCAGGAGCCGATGCGATCAACTGGAAGAAAGGGTATCAGCAATGGAAGATGAAATGAATGAAATGAAGCAAGAAGGGAAGTTTAGAGAAAAAACAATAAAAAGAAACGAGCAAAGCCTCCAAGAAATATGGGACTATGTGAAAAGACCAAATTTACGACTGATTGGTGTACGTGAAAGTGACAGGGAGAATGGAACCAAGTTGGAAAACACTCTGCGGGATATTATCCAGGAAAACTTCCCCAATCTAGCAAGGCAGGCCAAAGTTCAGATTCAGGAAATACAGAGAACGCCACAAAGATACTCCTCGAGAAGAGCAACTCCAAGACACAGAATTGTCAGATTCATCAAAGTTGAAATGAAGGAAAAAATGTTAAGGGCAGCCAGAGAGAAAGGTCAGGTTACCCTAAAAGGGAAGCCCATCAGACTAACAGCAGATCTCTCGGCAGAAACCCTACAAGCCAGAAGAGAGTGGGGGCCAATATTCAACATTCTTAAAGAAAAGAATTTTCAACCCAGAATTTCATATCCAGCCAAACTAAGCTTCATAAGTGAAGGAGAAATAAAATACTTTACAGACAAGCAAATGCTGAGAGATTTTGACACCACCAGGCCTGCCCTAAAAGAGCTCCTGAAGGAAACGCTAAACATGGAAAGGAACAACCGGTACCAGCCGCTGCAAAATCATGCCAAAATGTAAAGACCATCGAGACTAGGAAGAAACTGCATCAACAAACGAGCAAAATAACCAGCTAAAATCATAATGACAGGATCAAATTCACACATAACAATATTAACTTTAAATGTAAATGGACTAAATGCTCCAATTAAAAGACACAGACTGGCAAATTGGATAAAGAGTCAAGACCCATCAGTGTGCTGTATTCAGGAAACCCATCTCACGTGCAGAGACAAACATAGGCTCAAAATAAAAGGATGGAGGAAGATCTACCAAGCAAATGGAAAACAAAAAAAGGCAGGGGTTGCAATCCTAGTCTCTGATAAAACAGACTTTAAACCAACAAAGATCAAAAGAGACAAAGAAGGCCATTCCATAATGGTAAAGGGATCAATTCAACAAGAAGAGCTAACTATCCTAAATATATATGCACCCAATACAGGAGTACCCAGATTCATAAAGCAAGTCCTGAGTGACCTACAAAGAGACTTAGACTCCCACACAATAATAATGGGAGACTTTAACACCCCACTGTCAACATTAGACAGAACAACCAGACAGAAAGTCAACCAGGATACCCAGGAATTGAACTCAGCTCTGCACCAAGCAGACCTAATAGACATCTACAGAACACTCCACTCCAAATCAACAGAATATACATTTTTTTCAGCACCACACCACACCTATTCCAAAATTGACCACATACTTGGAAGTAAAGCTCTCCTCAGCAAATGTAAAAGAACAGAAATTATAACAAACTATCTCTCAGACCACAGTGAAATCAAACTAGAACTCAGGATTAAGAATCTCACTCAAAACTGCTCAACTACATGGAAACTGAACAACCTGCTCCTGAATGACTACTGGGTACCTAATGAAATGAAGGCAGAAATAAAGATGTTCTTTGAAACCAATGAGAACAAAGACACAACATACCCAAATCTCTGGGACGCATTCAAAGCAGCGTGTAGAGGGAAATTTATAGCACTAAATGCCCACAAGAGAAAGCAGGAAAGATCCAAAATTGACACCCTAGTATCACAATTAAAAGAACTAGAAAAGCAAGAGCAAACACATTCAAAAGCTAGCAGAAGGCAAGAAATAACTAAAATCAGAGCAGAACTGAAGGAAATAGAGACACAAAAAACCCTTCAAAAAATTAATGAATCCAGGAGCTGGTTTTTTGAAAGGATCAAAAAAATTGATAGACCGCTAGCAAGACTAATAAAGGAAAAAAGAGAGAAGAATCAAATAGACGCAATAAAAAATGATAAAGGGGATATCACCACCAATCCCACAGAAATACAAACTACCATCAGAGAATACTATAAACACCTCTACACAAATAAACTAGAAAATCTAGAAGAAATGGATAAATTCCTCGACACATACACTCTCCCAAGACTAAACCAGGAAGAAGTTGAATCTCTGAATAGACCAATAACAGGATCTGAAATTGTGGCAATAATCAATTGCTTACCAACCAAAAAGAGTCCAGGACCAGATGGATTCACAGCTGAATTCTACCAGAGGTACAAGGAGGAACTGGTACCATTCCTTCTGAAACTATTCCAATCAATAGAAAAAGAGGGAATCCTCCCTAACTCATTTTATGAGGCCAGCATCATTCTGATACCAAAGCCTGACAGAGACACAAGCAAAAAAGAGAATTTTAGGCCAATATCCTTGATGAACATTGATGCAAAAATCCTCAATAAAATACTGGCAAACCGAATCCAGCAGCACATCAAAAAGCTTATCCACCATGATCAAGTGGGCTTCATCCCTGGGATGCAAGGCTGGTTCAATATACGCAAATCAATAAATGTAATCCAGCATATAAACAGAGCCAAAGACAAAAACCACCTGATTATCTCAATAGATGCAGAAAAGCCCTTTGACAAAATTCAACAATGCTTCATGCTAAAAACTCTCAATAAATTAGTTATCGATGGGACATATTTCAAAATAATAAGAGCTATCTATGACAAACCCACAGCCAATATCATACTGAATGGGCAAAAACTGGAAGCATTCCCTTTGAAAACGGGCACAAGACATGGATGCCCTTTCTCACCACTCCTATTCAACATAGTGTTGGAAGTTCTGGCCAGGGCAATTAGGCAGGAGAAGGAAATAAAGGGTATTCAATTAGGAAAAGAGGAAATAAAATTGTCCCTGTTTGCAGATGACATGATTGTATATCCAGAAAACCCCATTGTCTCAGCCCAAAATCTCCTTAAGCTGATAGGCAACTTCAGCACAATCTCAGGATACAAAATCAATGTACAAAAATCACAAGCATTCTTATACACCAACAACAGACAAACAGAGAGCCAAATCATGAGTGAACTCCCATTCACAATTGCTTCAAAGAGAATAAAATACCTAGGAATCTAACTTACAAGGGATGTGAAGGACCTCTTCAAGGAGAACTACAAACCACTGATCAAGGAAATAAAAGAGAATACAAACAAATGGAAAAACATTCCATGCTCATGGGTAGGAAGAATCAATATCGTGAAAATGGCCATACTGCCCAAGGTAATTTACAGATTCAATGCCATCCCCATCATGCTACCAATGACTTTCTTCACAGAATTGGAAAAAACTACTTTAAAGTTCATATGGAACCAAAAAAGAGCCCACATCGCCAAGTCAATCCTAAGCCAAAAGAACAAAGCTGGAGGCATCACACTACCAGACTTCAAACTATACTACAAGGCTACAGTTTCCAAAACAGCATGGTACTGGTACCAAAACAGAGATATAGATCAATGGAACAGAACAGTGCCCTCAGAAATAACGCCGCATATCTACGACTATCTGATCTTTGACAACCCTGAGAAAAACAAGCAATGGGGAAAGGATTCCCTATTTAATAAATGGTGCTGGGAAAACTGGCTAGCCATATGTAGAAAGCTGAAACTGGATCCCTTCCTTACACCTTATACAAAAATCAATTCAAGATGGATTAAAGACTTAAACATTAGACCTAAAACCATAAAAACCCTAGAAGAAAACCTAGGCATTACCATTCAGGACATAGGCATGGGCAAGGACTTCATGTCTAAAACACCAAAAGCAATGGCAACAAAAGCCAAAATTGACAAATGGGATCTAATTAAACTAAAGAGCTTCTGCACAGCAAAAGAAACTACCATCAGAGTGAACAGGCAACCTACAGAATGGGAGAAAATTTTTGCAATCTACTCATCTGACAAAGGGCTAATCTCCAGAATCTACAATGAACTCAAACAAATTTACAAGAAAAAAACAAACAACCCCATCAAAAAGTGGGCAAAGGACATGAACAGACACTTCTCAAAAGAAGACATTTATGCAGCCAAAAAACACATGAAAAAATTCTCATCTTCACTGGCCATCAGAGAAATGCAAATCAAAACCACAATGAGATACCATCTCACACCAGTTAGAATGGCAATCATTAAAAAGTCAGGAAAGAACAGGTGCTGGAGAAGATGTGGAGAAATAGGAACACTTTTACACTGTTTGTGGGACTGTAAACTAGTTCAACCATTGTGGAAGTCAGTGTGGCGATTCCTCAGGGATCTAGAACTAGAAATACCATTTGACCCAGCCATCCCATTACTGGGTATATACCCAAAGGACTATAAATCATGCTGCTATAAAGACACATGCACACGTATGTTTATTGCGGCATTGTTCACAATAGCAAAGACTTGGAACCAACCCAAATGTCCAACAATGATAGACTGGATTAAGAAAATGTGGCACATATACACCATGGAATACTATGCAGCCATAAAAAATGATGAGATCATGTCCTTTGTAGGGACATGGATGAAATTGGAAATCATCATTCTCAGTAAACTATTGCAAGAACAAAAAACCAAACACCGCATATTCTCACTCATAGGTGGGAATTGAACAATGAGAACACATGGACACAGGAAGGGGAACATCACACTCTGGGGACTGTTGTGGGGTGGGGGGAGTGGGGAGGGAGAGCATTGGGAGATATACCTAATACTAGATGACGAGTTAGTGGGTGCAGCGCACCAGCATGGCACATGCATACATATGTAGCTAACCTGCACAATGTGCACATGTACCCTAAAACTTAAAGTATAATAATAATAAAAAAAAAGAAAATTAAAAAAAAAAAGAAAGTCACAAATAGCTTGTTTAAAGCAATTGACTATTTTAGGTGTTGTGACTGCTCTGCATTGGTGTATATAAACATTAAAAAAAGACTTCAGAATTTTTTATTTTCTAATTATAGAGACAAAGAGGAATCGTTATTAGTTTTTTTGCCATGTCATATTAATAATCAGTGTTTATAGGCCAAACTAAACATAATCCAAAATCACATTTCTATAAAGAGTCCTTATTATAGAGATAAAGCATCTTCTCTTAAATGTTGTTATATTTTCCATTTCTAAGCAGTAGTTTAGGTGAAATGAAATGGAGACCCATGAAGTAGATAAATGAGACTGATTAAGAGAATAAGCCAGTTATTTAATCCGAGGAATAAGAAGTAATGTCTAAGCAGGAATTCATGAATGATAAAAGTTTCAGGGAAAGCACTTTACATGCCTGAGTATATGACTGTGTTATTTTAAACACTGTCAGAGTCCATTCAGCTGGAGTGTAATATTTTGTGTATCAGCACTCCTATTTTGGGATGTACTATAATTTAGAGATAGTGAGTAGTGATCCCTACATAACAGGACTACTATTTCCTTTGCCATAATAGCAGTTTGTTTATAATAAAATTTATTTTCATCTAGTAATAGCATATATGATGCTTTCATTTTCATTCATTTCATTGGAGATTATAGCCTTAGGTGACAGAGTTATTTTATTTTTCTTCAGAGTCCATTAAGTCATAAAAGTCTGCAGACTACTCCTAGACTTGTGCTCTACTTTACTATAAAACAACAAATAATCTGGAACTGTTACAATATGTTCATAACGTTAACATGTTGCTAGCCATAGGAGTTCATATCTTAGTTACATTTTCTCGGGAAATTTGAAACCTCTAAAGCTGAAAAAAAATATATATATATATATATGTATACACACACACAATAAAGTACACTTTAAAAAGCAAACAAAAATTTTCTTTATAAGATTTAGTGTAACACTACATTTTTTATTTGATTTGTTTTGATTTGTTTTTGCATCAAAGATGATGCAAAGAGTTAACTGGAACTTTTAGTTAACTTTCTAACTAATAGAGTTAACTGGAATTCTTCTCTAGTTTTTTTCTTACTTGTTGAACACTGTGTTGCTTTGATTGTGAAAATCAGAAAGCCTAGCCTGTGGATGAACAAAAAGAAGCAAAAATACAAAGTATTTTATAGTTTTTTAGTCCATAGTAGAAAAATAAAGTTGCTTTTCTTTTATTAAAATATACAACATTTCAGCAGTATCCACTCAGCCATGTTTCTGAGTTTTGGGTTGTTGTTGTTGTTTTGTTTTGTTTTAAGAAGCATCTGTGTGATGAGTAACAATTTTACTGTCACTTATTCCAGACATTAGTTAGTTACGAGGCTTGGCTTTTTCACTGACAAGGTTAGGTGTCAAACCCTATTCCCCGTAGCCCCTCCAAGCTCACAACATGGCCCCACTGAAAGCCCTAATGAATTATTGCCTCTTTCCAATAAGCTGGATGCTAGCTCTAAGAAGTACTTAATGACATTCACAATTTAAAACCTTACCTAAAAATCTGTTTATGGAAGAATTAGCTTAATTAAGGAGTTTGCAATGAAGTCACTCTTAATGACGTTCTGTGAAAGACATTAAAGGTGAAAAGGAAACAAGCAGAACAAACAACCCTTTGAGCTTTTCAGGTCAGTAGTTACACTAACAATTGTCACAACTTTCCCTGAAAGGGATGGTACTTGAAGTGAGAATCAAAAAGGAAAATGTGTGATTGATCACCTCTAAGACTTTCCTCTGCTTTTCTGAAGAGCTAGGCCATAAAGTCACAAAGGGAGCAGCTTACTAGGTCGTAAAGCCTCTTGATATTTTTTTAAGGCGCCTGTATTAGTTTTCTATTGCTACCATAATAATTTGCTACATACTTGGAGGCTTAAAACAACACCCATTTTTCATCTCACAGGGTCTATAGTTCAGAAGTTCAGCTAGACTAGACTAGGTTCTCTGCTCAGGGTGTCATAAGGTTGAAATCAAGGTGTTGGAAAGTCTGTGCTCCTTTATTGCAAGTTTTGGGGAAGAGCCTTCTTCCAAGCTCATTCAGGTTGTTGGCAGAATCCAATTTCTTACAGTTGTAGGACTGAGGCTCCTGCTCCCTTGATGGCTGTCATCTGAGATCTCCTTTCAGCTCCTAATGGATACCCACATTTCTTCTCACATGGCCCCCTCCATCTTCAGAGCCAGCAAAGGTGTGTTGAATCACCCTTGTTCTTTGGATTTCTCTCTTTCTCTTCTGTGACCAGCAGGAGAAAACTCCCTGCTTTTAAAGGGGTCATGTGATAAGGCCTGTCTCACTTAGATCATATGTGTATTTTATAGTCCACTGATTTGGACATTGATTACATTAGGAAAATCCCTTCATGATTGTATCTAGATCGGTGTTTGATTAAATAAACCAGGCACAGAAATCTTGGGCAGTTTTGGGGAGGAGAGGACATATTTAAAATTCTGCATGCCATAGCACCTCTTCCTTTAAGAGAAAAAATCTTCAGGATGGACAACTTGGATTTAAGCCTCTGTCTGTCCCACTTGTTAGTCCTTTGTGCTGTGAACAATTGTACAACCCTACGTAGCAGCCCTGAGCTATAGCTTCTAGGGGTCATGAAGCATTGCCTTTACCCTTTGACTTCTTTCTCTTCTTAGAACCTTTCCTGTCCTGCTCAATCCTATTTATTAAACAGATCCTATCCTCATAACTGACCTCCTCACCTTCATCCAAACTCTAGTATTTATTTACCGGTATTTGACATTTTTAATGTGCATTTGATAATGATTTGTACATAACAGTTGCTGTGGAATACATCTTCTATGGCTAACTTATTTCTGCCATTGGAGTCATGTTTTTCCCCCATGAAGTGTGCCATTCAAATGGACCTTCTTCAATAATTCAAGAAATTCAATAATTTCTTATTTTATTTTCAACTAAATGAAAACTGTAAGTTCATGAGAGTAGCTTATATTTTTTTCTTCATTTTTACTGCCAAAAATATGGTTGCTAAATCCCAATATAGACAAAGGTCAATTAAAGACTATGTAATTGTGCTACTAATGTTATTACTGAAGATATGTTAAATCACATTTACTTTTGCATGTGTGTTTTGGAAAGAAGCTTTACAGTTGAGAAAACCATAAGGGTAGAAATAGAATACACACAGAAAAGTATGAAAAAATGCTTCTAATAGATCTGATAGAGATTTAGAAAAACAATTGTTTAAATTAGCACAATCCTTAGGGCTGAATTGGCTGGGATCTAGAAAGAACATTACTCACCTTTCAAGGGTGTTAAACTTCTAATGGACTGAGACCTCATCCAGAAAACATGGGAATTTATGCTTTCTCCTGGACAGAAAAGCATGTATCAACTTCTTCAGTTGCAAAGTCTCACAGTAATTGACCAGGAAAACTACAATTTCTATACAAATGCTAGATGACCATAATCCCTCCTCACGCAAGTAACATTCCTTTCTCATGTATGGACATTGCAATTCATAAAAGGGCTTATCACACACATCTCAGAGGATATATAACTACATTGCAGCAAGGCCTTTGGCATTCTAAGATAGAGGACCTAGGTTATTAAAAGCACAGATACAGAACACTGGCAGGAATGTGTGTTTTCACAAAAGAGTGTGTGTTTTCACTGAATAGCATATATTGCAAATTGATACAGTGCAGTTTGGTAGAAAAGACACTAATTTGAATTTAGGATATGTGGATTTTAATTCAAGCCCTGTCTCCAAATATAAGCTCCTTTATTTAGCTTGAATCTCAGTTCCATCAGTTAAATGGGAATGCAGGTCTAGATGTTTTTTTTAAGGTCTCAGTGAGTTGAGAACCTATGGTGACAGCTAACCGGGGGTTTAGTATATGTGCCACATCTCTGTAAATGTTCACTTCCTAGGCAAGCTATTATTACAAAAAGCTATGCTCCAGGATAAACTTCTGGGAGTCAAGAAAACTTAGTTGTCATTCTGATTCTACCATGAATGTGGTATAACTGTGGTGGCTTTGTCTCTTTCAATCTCATCTCCTCATCTCTAAAATTGGACTAAGGCTTTCTATAGCCACTTAATAGTGTTATTTTTTTGAGAATCAAATCAAATAACAGATATGAACCTGCTTTGAAACCTTTAAAATCATATATAAATGTAAGGGATAATAAATATATCCTAGCAAGTTTCTTTGATAAACAATTTATTCTGCCACTCAGTTAATAGATGTTTTCATGAATAAGTTTTTAAATGAACTGAGCCTCAATTTTATTATCTGTGAAATGAGGAAGATGACCTAGATCAGTGATTTTCTTAAAAGCATTTTATATTTTTTAGCAGCAGAACTCTGATTTCACACAAAATATCAAGTGGAATCTTACATATATGTCAGTCAAAAAACAAAGCAATTCTAACTGAGTATGACCCAGAGCCTTGCCTTCCAAGCTTCCTTCTCATTGCACTCCATACCATAACTTCTCATGCATTTGTATAAAACCCTGCAACTCTGAGGGGTTCTGAGTGAAAACAGATGGACCATATAATCCTTAATCTGTCTTCCAGTTTCAAATATCTGTTTAAAATTATGACAACTGAAGAGAGCTAGTCACTGGTTTTTATATAGAATATTTTGGTTCTAAGAAATGAATAGGAAGTAATTTAACTTCTTTAGTAACTTTTTCTTCATTCATTTACCCTTTGATTTCTGTACCTTAACAGACCATGATGTCTTCTCAATTATGAAATGAAGCTTGTTGTCATAAAATATACTTACTATTTCTAATTCATTAGATAACAAAGCAGAAAAATCAATTTTTTCTTTTAAACCATCATTCTAAAACAACTACTTTTAGTGCTCCATCACAAGAAGTAGTTATTACCAGCTACAAAAATGACTGTGAAATTTATATAGCAAAACTGACAAATTCCACAACACTTGCCAAGAAAACTCAATACCCTACTGATATTAGTAAATGCATAGAAAGTCCCAGACCCATTAGGCTGTCCCATTTCAGAACATGACATTTTATTTCTTCCCAAGTGATGAAAACTAAATTTGCAACCTGAAAATTGTATAGATTTGTGGTGCTTTTCTAAAAAACATATTGAAAATAGTTGGTTATAAGTGAGCTAAAAATGGGTAGTGCCACTATTCAAACAAAGTATGTAATTATTGAATAAGTACTTCCTTTACATCCAATACACATACCTCAGGAGTTCAGAATGCCACTTAAAAGAAGATGTGCATTTGTCTTAAACTTACAACAAAGTTTACCAAAGAAGCCAACATTTACAGCTACTAGGGATATTCTGCTATCCAATTAGAAACATAATTTTATAACTAATTGAAGGAGTGCATATATATATGTATATATATATATAGTTAATTTTAGAAAAATATATGTCTCATGGGTTTTTTAAAAATGACAATTTAGTGCTATAAATTCCTTCATGATTTTTCAAAAATGACTTTGGTTTAGAGAATGAAATTATAAATGTTATTGATCTATTAAGCATATTATTTCCTGAAGAGAGTTTAATAAAAAATACTAAAAATAAGTGTTTTACTTTGTAAACCAAAAATAAAATTCTAAGACCCACAACCGACTGATGGATCTCCCCCTCAGCCAAGGACATTCCAAAGTTAACCTGAAAAACTAGTTCGGGCCATAATGGGAAGTGGCAGTCAGACCTACCTCAAAATCCCCTTCTCCCCTTGGTATTTAGGCACAGCTGACCAGCATTAATATTAAAACAGAGACCTTAAGACTGATAGAATAGCCTCTTTAAGTTTATAAGAAACATTCCCTTCTGTTCATTCGATTTGCATAATGTGAACCTTGGTCTCCACAACTCCTTAACAAAGACATTCCCTTCTATTGATTCTAGGTCTTTATACGATAACTTAACTCTTTCAACCAATTGCCAGTTAGAAAATTCTTGAGTCCACCTATGACCTGGAAGCCCCTGCTTCAAGTTGTCCCACCTTTCCAGACCAAACCAGTGGACACTTTACATGTGTTGATTGATGTCTTATGTCCCCCTAAAATATATAAAACCAAGCTGTAGCCAGACTGCCTTGAGCACATGTTCTCGGAATCTCCTAGGGGTGTGTCAAGGCCATTGGTCACTCATATTCGGCTTAGAATAAATCTTTTCAAATATTTTACAGGGTTGGACTTCTTTTGTTGACAACTGTTAATATATCCTATGCTGAAACTATTTTAATCCTTAACCAAAATAAACACTAATTTAAATATGTGGCTTTAGTGTTCATGGTTGACTGTTATCAGAAAAATTGATAAGCCTGACTATAATCACCTGACATGTCAATAATCTCTAAAGTGAAATTGGTCTATGAGATCACTGAGGTAATGTGATGAACTACATACATTGGAATATAGATTAGTTCTTTCTCATGCCTGTAAAAAAGTTAATCTCTTAAAGAAACAAATGCAAAAGAAATCTAACAAAGAAATTATGACACAGCAAAATGTGTTTCACATATACTGTGATTAACATCTGAAGGAGATCAGAATATGCTACCCCAAAATATGCCACTTTGGCTAAAGATTATTTTAACCTGAAGGCAATTGAGAACATCAGGCACAGGATGAGCTCTCTGCCCTCCCCCTATCTGATGTCATACATTACACTTTCGTAAAGGAAATTTCCACTTGCAATGAAATTTCCATGTGTAAAGTTGTCTTCCTCACCCATACCAGAAAGAGGGGAATGATTCTTGTCATTGGAGATGGCACCAAGATGAGTGTGCATAATCAACCCCTATCCACCATTATTTCCCCCATATATTTCCTAGTCACCGTCCCACAATTTACTCCATAGAATCTCAAACTACTTTCCTTTGTCTAGTCACTTCTGAATAATTTATCACTCTTTGTTAAAATGGCCTATAATCCCCTTGGTCTAAAGGCCCCTTAGAGTTTTTTATTTCTGTGAAGCTCCAGTGCATGTAAAAATATTAAAACCAAAAAAGTTTGTATGCCTTTTCTTTTGATAATCTGTCTTTAGTTTAATTCACAGGTCTCTAGATCCAAAATCTGAGAAGGTAGAAGAAAATATTTTTTTTTCCCTCCCTTACACATCTACAGTCACTTTACAAACCAACCAATGTATCTGTCTTCTCAGCGGTGCAACTTGGCAACTACATAATATGAGACAACATAACACAGAGGTTTGAAAGACAAAGTGAAAGAAAACTACATATAATGTTATAAAGGGTATTTTAATTAGACAGAATGTAAATTAGCAGAAATTGGACTTGGACCAAATAACTGAGGTTGCTTTTCCTGTATTCATGGACATTTTGATACACAATAAAGATACTCTAGTCCAAGTGCCTAGAATTTTAAAAATAGCTACATAAATTTATTAATTTGATTTTAACCATTTAAAATACTATATCATTTCAGACATTAAAATGTAAAAATGTAAAATTTAGAGACATGAAGTAACTGTAAACAAGATTGGGCCTCAATTTTTCTCTTGTGATACTTCTACAATATACAAGTAATTTTCATCTATTCTTTTATGTTTTCTCAGTAGGAATATATATGCCTTACAAGTCACCATCTCTTGAAATGGGTTTAACAGTACAATAATAGGTGTTACTGTTAAAAAGCAAAGAAAAAAGACAGACATGGGAAATTCTGGGTTAGAAAATGTTACATATATTTTTTTGCTGTAATACATCTCAGAGTCTTTAAGGCTAATATTAATTACGAATCCAGGGAACATGCATTAGAAAACACCATTTTAAGTAAATGGATCACTTAGCTAATAAGTATTTGGCAAGGGTTATATGGCTGTCCGAATGAATCTTTAGATAGCTTAATAAGCAAATTCATGGATGTGCTTCAGTCCTCTTGCAATAGGTATTAGGATCACCAAAATGACCCAAATAAATTAATTGCCCAATTTAGATTTGGTGATCCCCCAATACTAGATTTGGTGGTTTTACATTGGCTTGGTCTCCAATTCAGCACCATATGTTTCAGAAGAGATGTATTAAATTTCTTAAATTATCTTTTGTGTGTGAACAGGAATACTTAGTGTCTTAGTAATATCCAGCATTTCTAATCCCTATCTTCCTTTTTTTTTGAGTCCCTCATCACCTTTTAGGTTTATCATTACTATCAATACTTTGCCAGTAGACTACTGACTGCTAATTTATGACATTCTCTGCATTTATGAACAAGTATCATGAGGAAAGGAAAGAAATACAATTCTTGCTCCCTAATGTCATTGTGATTTCAGGAAGTGTTAGAACATTTTTGGCAAACTTGCTTAATAGTCTTTAACAAGCTGAGTTAAAGAACTTTATTCTTTCAAACTTAGGATTTGTCATTATTTTGAGATTCATTAGTTTAATTAGTTAGAGCATTGTGCTAATGAGCCCAAGCACATGAATTTGAGTCACATAGGCTAGTTAATTTTGTACAGAAAAAATATTTTGTCTCCCCCCATACTAGGCCCTTTGCCATTAACTAAGCCTCTAATGAATATCTACGTTTTGATCATAAAGGAAACTCATCACCACTGCTTAAAAAATAAAATAAAAAGGAACAGGCAGGATCATATACATATGCAGGCAGTGCACTTATTCATCATTATTCACTAATGGATCTTTGGCCATACCTCTATTACCAGAAAGGGGTCCAGATCCAGGCCCCAAAATAGGGTTCTTGGACCTCACACAAGAAAGAATTCAGGGTGAGTCCATAGAATAAAGTGAAAGCAAGTCTATTAAGAAAGTAAAGAAAGTAAGAATCACTACTCCAGAGCCAGAGCAGTGGCATGGACTGTGTATACTTATAGTTACTTCTTGATTATATGCTAAACACGGGGTGGATTATTCATGAGTTTTCCAGGCAATGGATGGGGATTTCCCCGGAACTGAGGGCTTCTCCCCTTTTTAGACTATATAGGGTAGCTTCTGGATGTTGCCATGGCATTTGTAAACAGTCATGGCACTGGTGGGAGTGTCTTTTTGCATGCTAACACATGATAATTATCATATAATGAGCAGTGAGGATGACCAGAAATCACTTTCATTGCCATCTTGGTTTTGTTGGAATCTGGCTGGCTTCTTTACTGCATCCTGTTTTATCTGCAGGGTCTTTGTGACCCATAATTTGTGCTGATCTCCTATCTCATCCTGTGACTAAGAATACCTAACCTCCTGAGAATTCAGCCCAGTAGGTTTCAGCCTTATTTTCCCCAGCCCCTATACAAGATGGATTTGGTCTGGTTCAAATGCCTCTGACACCTCTAAACACACACCTGCTTTACTTAAGGAAACTGATCCAAGAAGAAAATTCAAGATTTGATGACATTTTAATTAACAAGTGCTTCATTTTAACTAATAAATTTCAAGTTGCTTATTTTCTTATACAACTATGAACATGTTTTAAATTGAAAAATACTATGTGCAGTATTGTAGCAAACATAAAAACAATTAAGAGATTCAGGGGATGTGAATCTAGACTTGCTGAAGTTTAATTACACTGTATTTTCATAAAGGAATCCCATTCACTTTAATTTTGTTTCTAAATTATGACGTCCTTTTCTTTTCAGAGCACATTGTAAATAACAGCATAGAACATCAGTTGGAATAGAGAAAACTGCAATTTCTTCCTATCTCTTGTCATTTAAAAATAACAAAAATGACAACTTGTCTGAAGAAAAGTTTTTAAATTTGACTAATGTTCCTTTGTGTGAAATATAATATACTTAGCAGTTCAAAGTGGAAAAAACTAATCCAAGAGAGGATCGTCATCATAGAACTCAAAAGAATGATTGATTTGATAGTTTTCTATTTTATGTTCAATATAAAATTCCATTTTATTTGATTCATCAGGAATCCCATATATCCTTTAAATATGACAGATGATTATCTGAGAATAAAAATGTCTATGACCAAAAGTCCAAAACTCGAACAAATTCACTAATCTCTAAGTTGATAAAGGCCAGTCCTAGTTTACAGAGCTACATATGGTTATTGCATGCTTTCTGTAAATGAAAGAACTATAATCTCTTCCACAAGCGTATGGAGGTTTCTATTTTCCCTTTAGTCACTGATGTAGCCAAGAATCATACTACAGAAAACTACGGAAACTATTAAATTTTTTTCAGAATTAAAATCTGAAGTTATTTTGTAGGTCCAAATTAATCTACTCATAAAGGTACAAACTTATAACTTAAGTTCCAGTTTTTTAAATTTTGTATTTCCTCTGGAAGAATAAAAGACAGGTCTTTTGATATGGATAAATAGGGATGAATCCTAGTTTTTGGAATCTGAAACTTACACGTTAACTCTCTTTAAAAAAAAGAATACAAAATTACCATACAAAATTTTGTATAACCAGAATATTTATTTATAAAGAGAGGTTACAACAAATGCCAAATTTATAGAAGCTGACAAATATCACAAACATTATAGAATCCAAGAAAATTATATACTTTTAATAATAAGCTGCTTGACACATCTCTGTAATATTTTTCTTTTCCCATTTCAAGAACACCAGTGGATGCCTGAAAGTGTAAAGACTACCAAACCCTGTATGTATTATGTTTTTTCCTATACATAAATATCTGTGATACTTTTTCCCAACATTTTTGGGTGCCTATCATTGGATTGCCTCTTCATATGAAAATAATTTTGTAATATCAGGCCTCAAAAGAGGCCAGTGTAAGTGAAGGACCCTCAATCTTAAACTTCATTAGCTCCATGGTAAATCTGCCTCTATTTGTATCAGTTATTCAATCAATGTGTGGCTGTTCATAAGATATAAAATAAGAACAACACCCTGTTGCAAAATATTCATCACTATATATCTATATCAATATCTGTATCCATATCTATAAACATAGATGTGTATAAAAAAGATTATGTGAATTATAAATTTTGGACTGTATTTCAGGGTGCGATATATCCTCAGAGAGATTCAAATTGTGCGGTGGGAGTGAGAGGTAATATTTATTTTATGCAAATAAATTGAGGTTACCAATCCCTTTTACCTGCCTACTTCAATTAAATAGTGAAAGGGATAGTGACTTATACAATGCTGGGGTTGTACTTATCATTATATAACTCACTACCTAGAACTAAAAACCAAACATGAAGTAGAAAGTCTATTTAACGAATTAATGTGGCTAAAAAGTGCCTGGGATGTAGAGTTCTTCAATAAGTATTTGTTTATGAATGAATAGATGAACTAACAAATGAGTGAATGGATAATACAGCTATATCCACCTCCCTTTTCTTTTGCCTCATTTTACCTCAATGACTGCTTTCGCTGCCTAATGAAGTCTAATTTTTTGAGTGCTAAATTACATTGAAATATTTTTATCGGGTACTTCATGGCAGTTTTTATGTTATCTCATTTATGTTTCTAATAACAATTCTCAAGGTAATTTCATTTCTCAATACATAGTTATTGAAATTGAAAGAATTTGAGTAACTTATCCAATGTTCTACAGCTAGAATGTCAAAGAATCACAAGTTGAATCGAGGCTTTCTAGAATCTTAGGTAATATACATCATAGCCATTTATTTTTCCTACATGCCATGCCGTAAAAACATAGCCAAAACAAAAGGAGCTTATTAAGTTAAAATTGTGTTACATGCATCACAAGTTCTAGGCAAAAAATGTAATATATTATGTCAAAAATAGTTACAATGGGAAGTCCTTGTGTCTGTGTTACAATGTACAGATTTATTCTTTTTATTTCCTTTCATTTTCATATCCATAAATTGCTCTTCGTAGTCTCAGTTTTGAAACTGGGTCTGGTCTGGTTTGAGCAGTAGCACGTCAAGGGATCAAATGAATGTTGATGGAAATAGCTATATGCAGAGTGATCAACATCATGATAGGCTGACAGGTTTGAAGAGCCAAGCACTTTTACAACTGCCAAGCAGTATTTTTCATACTACCTCAAAAAGATTCCCTGGTTGAATAAACTTTTAATATCCCCCTGCTGGAGAGTCACAACACATATTTACGTATTAAAGAAACACAGGAAATCCTCCGTATAAACCTGCACCACGCCTACCTCCCCCAACTCCAATTTGTTCCTTTGCTGCCCCCTAGAGGGCCTTGGCCAGAGTGCACACGCCATCACTGCCTTCTCTCCTAGTTTCTCTTTCTATTGCAGACTACGCTGCCTAAACTCGGGTCTCAAAGTAAACAGGGAGCTCAAAGTAAACAGGGTTTGAACACCAATTTGTGGTCTTTACATCATTTGCTAACTGCTAACACCCTTCTCTTCCTTGGAGAGTTTTCAGAAAGGAAATCATTATGAAGGGAGTAGGTGACTTCAATTCCTTTCTTCCCTATCATCTTCATTTCCACATCAGTCTCCAGATGAGCATTTTACCCCGCTGGAGTACATGCAGAAAAGTTGAAAGAGATGTAGCATGGTATAAATTTGAAAAGTTACAGTAGTGAAGTTGAAGGAAAAATAAAAGAAAAATAATTTAAAAAGAAAAAAGTATCTCTACTGCCTCCCCTCCTCAGGACCCTGAGTTTGCCTATTCCTTATGTCCCACCCTCCTCCTCCTTCTCCTCTTCTCTGAGACCTAATCCACTTGGGGATAACAGACTATTTTCCAGTTATCTATGATTTATCTAAATCTAGTTTTTGGATCTAAATCTGGTTTTGGAAGTGTGGGTGTTAAGTAATTCAGTCACACTATTCAAGAATAACAAATGTCATTGGAAGACATCATTACTTATTTTGATAAACAGAAAAAGTCTTACCAACACAGCCTACCCACTTCAGCATCTTCCATAAAATAAATGATCCAAGGATATAAAACATAAAATGAGAAGCTAGAGTCATAAGTAATCTTATTTGTAGGACAGTGCTAAGCAGTTTGTCCTTTTGGGATCATGACCCTCAGCGAAGCAGGTAATATTTCCTTGACACTGAGCTGAGAGCACCACAGAAAGGGACTGGTGGAAACCAAGCAGGGTGCCAATGCTCCAACTATCAGAGCCTGAGCACTAGTAATAGCAACGGGTACTACAGTGTCCCCAGATAACTGAGTTAGACGACTAATTGTATGAACTAGAACACTAGGTTTGGACTTGGAGTAAAACGCAGATCTGGTCGATCCACTACAAGAACACTGAACAGTGGGTCTGAAAAAATATCGAATTCAAAAATCCATCAGTTGACAAAGTGAAGGTTTCTGAAGGATTCTTTATTATGACAGGATTAGGTTCAGCCTGAAGGAGAGACTAGTGCGTCTGGCTCCAGCAACAGGGCTAGAGAAGGTGGAGGCTAATAATAACAACATTCACAGAGTTGGGAATCTAGGTCCAGTATTTTATTTTCATTGCCAATTTTTCATTCAATTTTTTTTCTTTAAAAGGAAAACCATTCTGTGCTCCAAACCCTTTCCCTTCACATTCTAGCCTGACAAAAAAGATAACCAGGATAGAATCAATAGTGTGCCAAACTGCCTTTGTGGTTTCACTTCATTTAGAAGTTACTCAAGAAAGGACAATTACATTTAAAATTGAAGACATCTTTTTATTATATGAAAGTACAATGATTCACCATTTTCTACCCTATGTGAAAGAAAATATAAAAGGAATAGTTGAGACCAGCTGCATTTTTGCAATTGAGAATAATCCTGGATTTGGATATTTTATTTAAAGGCAGAAACTGACATCCAGCTAAGTTTTAGTAATGAAAAAATAAAAATTGTCAGCTAAGTTTTAGTAATGATGAAATAAAAATTGTTCAATCTCAAAGGAAAAACAAAAATCCTATGCTGATTCTCTAGACATATGTGTAATCATTTAAAATGGTATGTCTGCAGTAGTCCAGCCAATTAAAAATGGCTCAAAATAGCCACTCATTAAATACTTTGTTGACTATACCATAGGCACTGATTTTAAAAGGAAAAAAAGAGCAGTTTTCCTCTACGTTTCAATGAAATACACAGTATATTTGTTATCACATATCAGAAAATATAACTGATTTTAAAAGCATACAAAAGTTAAATCTACTTAGTTCACAGTCATATAATAGAAATAAAGAGGCTTAAAAAGTAAAGAAGGCTCAGAGTAGTGTGGGATTAGTCCAGGATTCTTGAAAAATGTGTATTTGTATCAATCTCAATATATTGCTTTGGAAACATTATGTGGTTGGTTGCATATGTGTGTGCATTTCCTAAATTTAAAACAGTAGCTGATACCTATGTCCTGAAGAGATGGCCACATAGAAATCTTGATGGAATAGGAAAATTCATTCTCATTGTTAATGAAAAAAAAAAGGATTCTGCTTTTCTCAACGAATAAAACTGTTGGAGTCCTTCACCTCACCATGCAACATCTGGATAACTTAAGGCAAAACCTGTCCTAAAGAAACAAGAAAGATAGAGACTGTTAATAGCATTCTAATCATTCTACTCTTTAAAAAACAATAATTTTCCCCATTCACGTGCTGCCATCACAACACAGGCCAGTAGCACACAGATGAAAATCCTCATCTGGTACAGTTTGCAGCTATTCATTTGCAGAAAAATAAGAATACAGTAGGAGAAATTAATTCTTCAGGGGAAAAGAGCAACCTTGAGAACAACCCCACATTTACAATCATTTATAATTTATAATCATTTATAATCAGCGCTCAGTGCTTCAACAAAGTTCAGCTATAAACATAAGGCTGTAATTGTCAGGTTCTTGTGAAAGAAATTCAGCTACAGCTTTTATCCACTGCAATTGTGGAGCTGTTCAAGCCTACTGGAAAAAAAAACATCTTCTATATGACCTGACTACCAAACAGTTGTCACACCCCTATTAATTACAGAGGTCGTTGAAGTAGTTAAGAATTCTTATCGAAATCTTTCCTCTATAGAAAGCCCTTCTTTTCCTCCCCTCCTTGGACTTTCAGTAAAGCATTTCTCAGAGCAGGGAACGAGTTCAAACTTTTCCTAATTATTGGCCCAAACATTATAGCACACTTCTGATATATATATTTTTTATTTTGGTAGTGTTGTAAGGCCAGTCCCAGGTCTACAAAACAAAAAAACAAAAACCAAAAAATCCTTGCAAGTCATATACAGGAGGGAATGGAGAAATGTTACTTTCATTTCACAGATACGCCCTTTTCAAATATTCTTATACATTATAGTGGTGGAGAGGGGGAAGTGTGTTGAAAGATTTCATTCATCTATGTTTTCAGTAATAGTACCCTCTAGTGTCTCCAGCTGAGCTATGCATTTGGTGAGCTGCTAGGTAAAGCAGTTAAACCACCGACAGCATAGAGCTTGGTAACTAGCAGACCTACTCCCATTTCTCAATCTTTAGTTTCTGAAGAAATTCATTTGTCTTTTGTGTATCTGTACCAGTTTCAGCCTTATTATCATTTGTGACGTGAATGCCTGAATACTAGAAATATCTACCAATTAAATGTAAAACTGCCTGTACAAATTATGATAGTAAAAATGCTTGGAATTGAGAAAGTACTTTTAACTTCTCATATCATTTTCATATGCACTATAATATTTGTAGGTCACAGTATTGTTCCCCTACCCCTATGACGGCACATGAATGTTTGTTGTTGCTTTTAAAGAGAGAAGCAGAATGATTTCACTTGGGATAAAGAGAAATGAATTCTTAACTAAGGCTTTTGCTTTAAGCATTCTCTATTCCTTTGAGGTTTATGTTATCTTTTAATTTTCCTTAACATCTTTATTTTTTTATGTCTTGGAGAGTGACAACTTTTTAGCTTTATTTTAGACATTCTGCTGAGCATTTTAGATGAATTACCTTATTTAAATATCACTACAATATTTTGAGGTGGATAAGGTTATTATCCCTAATTTTAGATGAAGGAACTGTAGCTTTTTAGGACAGCTCTGTCCAAAAAGCTACGTAATGCAAGCCACACATGTAATTTGAAATTTTCTAAAAATATTAAAAATACACAGTTGAAGTTAATTTAATAATATATTTGTTGAACCAATGAGTCAATATATTATTTCATCATGTAACCGATATGCAATGATAATGGTATATTATGTTATATTATATTATATTATATATTGAAACAGAGTCTTGCTCTGTTGCCTAGGCTAGAGAAAAATGCCACAATCATAGCTCACCGCAGCCTTCGAGTCCTGGGCCTAAGTAATGCTCCCAACTCAGCCTCCCGAGTAGCAGGGACTACAGGTGTGCGCTGCCACACCTGGTGAATTTTTTATTTTTAGTATAGATGAGGTCTCACTATGTTGCCCAAGCTGGTCTGGAACTCCTGAGCTCAAGCAATCCTCCTGCCTTGGTCCTCCAAAGTGTTGGGATTACAGGCCTGAACCATGGGACCTGGTCAATATATTTTACATACGTGTGTGTGTGTGTGTGTGTGTGTGTGTGTGTGTGTTTATGTGATATACCTTCAAAATTGGGTGTGTACTTTACACTCGAAGCATATGTCAACTAGGGCAAGCCACATTTCATGTGCTCAGTAGCCACATGTGGATAGTGGTTATCTTATTGGACAATACAGGTCTAGAGATTAATTTCTTCACAGCCAGACAGCTAGAACATGGCAGAGCCAAGACTCCAAATTTGGTCAAAAATCAAAGGTTTTTTCTTAACTACTGAGCATCACTCCCTCCTACTGATTGCAATTGTTGCTGATGGTTTAATATTAAACATTAAAAATATCATGGAGAATGTGTTTTATCCAGTCTTTCTGTTTCATTCCCATACACCAATCTACTTTCCCAATAGCAATGATGATCTATTGATTATAACATGTCTGTGCAATGAATAGTGCAATTTGTGATGTAAAACACAAAAAAAGAATGGAATTTAGTGCAAAATAACTGTCACATGATAAATACAAATTACTCTGTTGTCATCTATCTGCATGACCTGTACACTCCTTCTCTGAACAGAGACTATAAGGAAAGACAGATCACAATGAGATGACAGATTGCTTGATAAGGGATGTTTCATGCAAGGTGAATTGAAATAACAATATTTGATTGGCTTCATCAATCTCATGTCAAGGGTGATTTTGTCAGAGAAATGAAAATGTACATGAATAGGTGTTGCCAATGCTCATCTCTCTCAGTTTTCTTTCACCAGGATTCTATGGCTGATCAATCCTTTTTTAGATGGGCATGTTATTTCTTGGTTTTAATCAATTCTTACAGGCCTGAGAAACATCCTTACTCACTGATGTTTTTGAAAACTCTTCTTTGATCCATTATATAATCAGAATGGCTTTATAGTTTATCCCTCAGAGAATATGCATATTTCCATGTTTATGGGGTATATATTACCATAATTTCCCTTTTATGATCATAGCAGAACCCTGGTCTAGGTTCCTAATGGGAACACTGAAGAAACAAAATGCAATAAATATCACAGTTCCTTCCTGACACCTCATCCAAAAACCAGATTCCCACAGTGTCCTTTTTGCTTTTGAGGACTTTTGTTAGTCATAAAATTTTTATGTAATGCACATTCTGAAAATGTGTCACTACACAATCTGAAGACCGTATGCTGAGGGGCAGCACAATGGACTGGACGTAACACGGGTTGGAATTTCCTGTGTATTTTATAGCTATAATACCTTGGGCATTTTTACCGAGTCTCTGTTTTCTCATTTGTTAAGGAAAACATGAAGCTAATAATACCTACCTCTTAGAATGGTTTGGAGGATTAATGGGACAATTTATATAATGCAGATGGTACATTAAAAACATTCAGTAACGGGGAGTCCTTCTGTCTGTAGTCAGAAAAGCGTCTTCATCAGTCCTTTTAGAGTTAGAATGCCTAGAGCTTTTTGCCAGGTGCCTTTTGGTTATTCCGTTGCTCATTGGTGCCACCATCAGACAGAACACAGGAGAAAAGAAAATGGGGGAAAATTTTCATTATTTTCAGATGTGGATTTCTGTCAGTCTTTTCAACAGACTCAATTTCTTAGGTAATTTTCTGGATTGCTTAGTTCAACTAGTAGAGTCTCCTTGGTCTGTAAGTAATGTTTCTAATCTATTCAGATCATTTCCTATTGGACTATACACCTAAAACTAAATGCTCTGCTCCATATTATATATAGAAGAATTCAGATTAACTATAAAGTAACCATGTAGCTGAATTTATGAGTTATATACCCTGAATAGAAATCTAGAGTCTGTTACTCTTTAGCGTCATGGTCTTGTGCAAATCACCTGTCCTCTATGAATTTCAGTTTCAGGAATTGCAAAATGGAATAATAATATTAACCTCATAAGTCTGTCATGATAACTTTAAATACTTTAAACGGTGACAAAATAGTTCTCTTCTCCTGCCTAGGGATTAAATGGAAATCTTCAGAAATCAATTAATTGGTATCTAATGTGGATGTTATGAATAATTCTTAGTATTTGAAAGCACTCCCATAGCATGCCTGTGCCACACTGTCCCTGGATCAATCAGTGATTTTATTTGCATTGAGTTCCTGCCATCTCCCATGACACAGTCTCATCCAGTATTGCAATCCCCAAGAGTCAGAGCTGTAACCATTTAGCAGCTTCTGATTTCCCCTCTCAGACATTTCCTAGCTCCCAAGAAGAGTGCAATGCATGTGCTGGATACTGTGAATAATGAAGGGACGGTTACAGGAGGAGCAAAATGTAATAGCGAAGTGTCTCCTCACACCTGTGCAAGTAAATATTTCTCTGTTTTCTTTCATGCAGACCTGCATTGAGCTGCGGTGCTGATGTTTCTCCTAGTAGCATGGCTTTCGGTATAAAAATATGCAAAAAAGTGACGTGAGGAATATTTGAACCAAGGTTTTAACCTTCAAAATATCAGGAATGGGAAAGGAGGCAGCTAAGAAGATGGAGAAGGATATACTGGGGAAACAAGTCATAAGGATTTGCCTTTCAGTTAAAAAACTTTCCCTGAAGCAGCTATTAGAGAAAAGCAACTTATTATAATTCTGAAAATTTTTCCTTCTTGATGTTCTATCTCTATGCAGATGTCATCTCCTCTTCCATTCAGTAGACAAAAAATAAAAAATGGATACTGTGTTATTGGTGCTCTGAAACATTCTCTACTTTTTCTCCTTTTATTTCAGGAAAAAGAGCCACCTCCTTTCAAATAATTGCACAGCACCAGAAAGATAAGTTTTTCTACAGGATAAGCACGGAAAGTGGATTTTCCCCATAAAATCGTACACCTTTCTGGAGAGAGGAATTTAGAAAATTCACCTGGTTAATTTTCTGGCGTCTGGGTAAATTTAAGGAGTTGTTCCTTGAAACAAGAATAAGAGTTGACCAGCTGGGGTGGTTTTGATGTTGTTACTACTGGTTTTTTAATCACATGCCAGGAACGGGGGAATTGGCCCCTACTTCCTTATATCCACGACCCTTCGAAGGCATAAACCAGCCACATTCCTCCTGGTACCTTTAGTGGTCCTTGGGGACCTGGCACCCGGATGCCCACCCAGCCGTCGCCCACCAGGCAGCCAGAGCTGGCTGGCAAGCACCAGGCATGAGGCTCCGGGCTGGTTTCCTCCCTCTCTTGCCCCCTTTCCTACCTTGGAAAAGCGCCGTCCATGCCCGCGACGCTGCCTGGTCTCTGGCAGCAATGCCACCTGACTCACTCCTGCTTGCTGTCTGGGGTAGCCAAATGCTAGGTCGCTAGAACTTCTCCTTCCCTCCTTCACACACACACACACACACACACACACACACACACACACACAGCCCTTCGCTGCTGTCAGAGGATTAATCTGGAAAGGCGATCGAAGTACCAGACCCCGCTCACAGTTGAGTATGATATATGCGGACAGCCTCTCAGCTCCAACTGTGACTTTGCCAGGCTTCTGCCCCTACTACCCCTAGTCTGCCTTAAGTATCCTTTGTATGAGAAAATGGTGCTGTGGGATGCTTGTTCTCTAGCTGGAGTCGGCAGCCAGCGGTATCACAAGAAAAACACACAAGAAAAATCAAACTTCTCTGAGAAAATGTGAATGGGTGAAACTTAAAGGGAAGCCTAAGAGAAGAGTGAGCAGAGGACCGAGGAGAACATTGTATGCCCAGGGTTTTGCTCAGGAAAGCTAGCAGCCCGAAAGCGGCGCGTTTTCTTCAGCAGCGGGTCCCGCACGCGAGAGTGCTGCCAGCACGCTTTCTGCCTCCTTCTCCAGGAGGCGAGCAGTAACTTCCTAAGCTTACCTCCATCTCTCCCCCGCCCTTCTTGCTGGTTCTCCGTCAGCGGGGAGGGGCCGCCCCCGGATCGATGGGGGATGTGAGGTGCAGGGAGTGGGGACCAGAGGGGGGTACTCAGCAGTTGGTGCTGCGCCATCCCTTCCCAGCAGGCGGCCCGGACACTGGTTCACTTCTCTCCCCACGCCTTCCCCTGGTTCACCCCCCTTCCTTCCCCTTTCTCCCCCTCGGTTAAGTCCCTCCCCCTCGCCATTCAAAAGGGCTGGCTCGGCACTGGCTCCTTGCAGTCGGCGAACTGTCGGGGCGGGAGGAGCCGTGAGCAGTAGCTGCACTCAGCTGCCCGCGCGGCAAAGAGGAAGGCAAGCCAAACAGAGTGCGCAGAGTGGCAGTGCCAGCGGCGACACAGGCAGCACAGGCAGCCCGGGCTGCCTGAATAGCCTCAGAAACAACCTCAGCGACTCCGGCTGCTCTGCGGACTGCGAGCTGTGGCGGTAGAGCCCGCTACAGCAGTCGCAGTCTCCGTGGAGCGGGCGGAAGCCTTTTTTCTCCCTTTCGTTTACCTCTTCATTCTACTCTAAAGGCATCGTTATTAGGTAAGTAACCGGACTGGGTACCTGTACAGGGTGCTGTCAGGGAGGCGTGAGGTCCACACTTAGTGCGCGGACACTGCCCGCTGCCTGCCCCTGAGGTCTGAACTATGACAACGGGGTGGTTTTAAAGACGCTTCTGCTATTCTCCCTTCCCCCTTCTCTTCCCGGGAGGTAAGAGAAAGAGCAAACCCCGGAGGTGAGCGCAGGGAGAATATCTTTTTGCACTACCACCGCTGCGCTTGGTTACTTTGGGAAAACTCTCACTTTTGTCAGAAATGTGTCGGCGCATGAATTTCCCCGACATTGGCTGTGCAAAAAGGTCTCTCCCTTTAATGGGTACAGCCAGCTTCAGCGAGGCTGAGGGAAACTCTAAGATTGGGGCGGGTGTTGACAAAAGAGCACGTCCCGGACTCCCAGACTCGCCCGGCTGAGAGATTGGAGCTGAGGGGCGATGCCTCTAGCTGAGAAACTACCCCTGGCCTCCCTGCGCTCCTCTGGGGGCTCGGGTTTGGATCCCTGCCAGGCTGGCTCCAACCCTTGAGGGTACGACCCTTGGCGCAGAGAGGAGAGCCAGGAGAGCCAGGAGCGCACAGGGTTCCCGGTGCTGTTTCTCTTGGCGCTCGCCTCCCCGCCCTTCCTTCCCGCCCTATTTTTATGGGGCTGTACTCAGCCAGCACCTGCTGGATGTGGAGATGGTAGGTGTGAGAAATACTGCCTATTTTTTAAAAATCAACTTATAATCTAGCCGAAAAACGGCATCATTTTCTCATTTAAAAAAAATGACTTTTCTAAGAGTATTGCCAGACATAAAAGGGTTCCTCTTTCTCTAAAGAAATGACTTGTAATCCCTTAGCCAAATAAATAAATCAATAAACCGCCCACCTATCCCATAAATAGGTGGTGTTTTCTAAGACAGAACCCAGAAACAGTTCACGTCCTCACAAAGGAATTCTTTTTCTTAAAGCGCGTAGCGATAAAACGGCTCTTTTTTTTCGAGAAAAGTAATGTACCTTTTAAAAGAGGTTCATCGGAAAATGTGACTTTTTAAAAGCGAGCAGCCGCAAACGGGTGTATTTTTTAGACTTTAGAAGAGCGGAGCGGCAGTCCGCCCGGGTTGCGGCTGGGACTCGCATCTGAGCGCTTAGTCGCAAAAGGACTGAGGGGTAGGAGGAGAGGTCACTTTCTCAGAGTGTATAGCCAGAGCCGCTTCCTTGCCTCTCCCAGGGAAAGACTTTTAGAGCTTAACCGAAGATGGGCCCTTTTGCTTCAGAATGATTTATTCCGCGTTCCTCTGCTTCACCCGCCTGCGGCTTAGGGTGTGGGGCGCTAGGCTGCTCATGTGAAGCGCTTACGGGTGAGCCCTAGCCTCTCCGATGCAAAATGTGGGCTGGGGGCTGGGAATTGCTATTTGCGCCACTGCGGCACACACCCACAAAGCAAAAACCGTGGGGAAGAGGGGCTAGGACAAAAGAAAAAGAATTAAAGCTCAGCAACAAACAAAATAAAAATTTTTAAAGTGTCCTTTTCTTGTGTGGAAACATCACAAAATGGGATTTAAACCCAGCCTAGGATCTGTTTGTACGAAGAAAAGTGTGTGGAAGAAACTGGTTGAAAATCCGGGTAGAAGGGGGAGGGGGGGCAGCAAAGATGGGGAGGAGGCGATGGTGTCATAGCAGTCGCCTGTGCGCTCTTAGCGCTGCAACCAGGAAACAACCTGAGGAGCATGCAGAGAATTCCGAACGCTGAGCACACCTGAGAACATAGAGGTGCTTTGTGACTTAAAGCGACCTAGGCCCCCTAAAAAGTAAAACAGGTGTGACTCAAAATAGAAAAGGAAACGGTACTTGCGGGCACCCGCGCAACTTGGTAAAGACTGACGGAATTCCACTTTTAATCTTGTTTGAAACAAACTCTCGCAATCCCAGCAGGAAATTCCAGCGCCAGGGCTGGCCTTTCCTCTGTGGGTCTGTGTGTGTGTGTGTGCGCGTGTGTGTGTGTGTGTGTCGCGGCGGGGCTGGGGGTGGGGAAGCAATTCGAAGCAAGTCGAAGTAATAGTGTATGTACACGTTTCCCCCTTTCTTGCCTTTGTCTGGTTCATCATAGAGAGAGCGCGGACCGTGTGCGGGCGGTCTTGACGAAAGAACCGAGAGATGGATGCGCTAAGGTCTAAAGATACCTTTCTCCCTCGACTAAATTAAGAATTGCCGCGACAGTTCCCAAAAGCTGAGTCCCGCTGCAGCTGCCAGGTCGCCACACTCGCCAAGCGGCGAGGGAGCGCCTTTGCCTACCAGGCCGGAGAACCCTGTTCTTCAGTCGCCTTGGCAGGGGCAGCCCCTCCTTCTGGCAATGATGTCAGCTGCAGAGAGGCTTGGCCCGGCCGATGGGAAGCCGAGCGGCGAGTCCGACCCGCAAGCACGAGCAGCCCTGCCCCGCGCGCTCCCTGCGCGCAGCCGCCCTCGTGTCCCTTCGGCCTCTCCTGGGTCCCGGCTCGCAGCCCCCCCCTTCCAGTCCCTCGCTCCTCAGAGGCGCGCTAAGGCGCCAGAGGCGGGGGTGGCCACTGCTGGCGGCCCGCCGCCGGTTTTAAACCCGGGGTTCAAACCCAGATTTGGGGTCTTCCCTCCTCCATTTCCTCCTTTCCTCCGCGCCCCAGCTCTCTCCCTTTTTCAGCCTGCACCTTCACTATTCACAGTGACTTTACTTATTTAGCAACATTTTAGAGGGCAAGTGTTCCAGATGCAATAATAGTAGTAACTGGTGTTAAATTTCTGCTGTTTTCTCTCCCCTCGGGTGATAAAAAAGATGTGAAGAACGGCCTCTTTAAAAAAAAACCCCGTGGCTGCTGCTTCGCCTGTCACAGAGCAAGCTCTCTAGAAGGCGGGGAGGGTCATCTTTCCCACAAAATTGTGAGGTGGGGGAGGGTTTGTAACCTTAGGCGAAAGCGCAGGCTGGGGAATCCCCTTCACAGAAAGAAGAAACTGCAAATTGGAAGTTGCGGAAAGGCTCTATCCACTACTGCCATAGGGGAGAGACCACCATGCTCTTTATTTAGAGACACGCGCTCCAAATTGGGATGATGCAGGAATAGGTTTCTTTAAGACGGAAGCCCGCTGCGGCTTCCCTTTTGAGCTTGCTCTTATAGTCCTAAGGAGCAAGCCCCTGCTTTGCCAAATTTGAGGCTAATCTGTTTTCCTGATTGCGGACAATTCCTTCTTTAGCTTTGGTAGAAGGGCCGCAGAATGCAGTTGGAGAAGGTTGCACAGGGCAAGAGGGAGGGGCAGAGGCAGGGCGTGTAGAGGCAACTGGCGCCTGGAGCAGAATTACCTTCCAAAGGAAAAAACCTTCAAGGGGTGTCGCAACAAACTGCTTACTTACTGTGTTTTGGTTTGGACGCAGGTGAGAGATGTGGGCAAAGGGAGCAGAAGCAAAGAATTACTCTGTTTTGTAAAGGTAGGATTCTTCCCCCTTCCTTTTCTTCTTCCCTTTGATGAAAAGCTTCCCTTTCATGACGTATAGCTGGCAGCAAACTTAAAGTTGCTGTGCGTCTGAAATACAGGAATGGGAAAGAAACTCCGACCAAGCATAAAACACACTCATTTTCTAGAGCTCAGTCATTTGCTAAGGGTTGAAATAAACTGTGCACCCCCACTCCCTGCCCCTTCCCCCTGGCTCCTTGGCCTTTTTGTCACCGGACTGGATTCTGAAGGACGTCCAGGTAATGCTGGGTTTCAGCAGCTGAAAGCCCTGGCAGAAGGGATTGCAGGTTTCACATTCTTCCTTCTCTTGGTATTCAAAACTTTATTTTTTTTTTTGCGAGATAGAAATTCTTGATAGAGAGCTTCCAGACTGCTGGTGGCAGGGAAGAAATCTGGTTAAGAGATTCAGAAAGCAGAAAATTCTTTTTCTCTGCGCAAGCAGTCCACAACAGCATTTAGCTAGGATTTATAAGATTCTTGGTGGAGCAAGGGGAGGCACATCGACAAAGGAGAGTTTATATAAGCCACTGGCTTTGAGCTACATTGAAAAAATATGTATGGCAGCCACGTTTTCTTAGTGGGAAAGAAAATTATTCAGGGAATGAAATTTTGAAGGCTAATTCTCTCCAAGAATCTTGCTTCACATAATTTAAAGGAGGTGTCATCCCTGTATTTGTTCACTGAAGAGTCCACGAACTTTAATTAGTCACCTACTGTGCCAGACAATGTGATAAATGGTGTAATTGAACATAATGGAGAGAGGAATTAATTTTTGTTAAGAGGTTGAGAAGAGGTTCATAAAGGAGAGAGAGGTCTGTGGCTTTAAAAATAGTCATTCCTAGTCAGTGGCTAGCCAAGAAATGTATCTGGAAGGTCATGCCCTGTACAGAATAAGTAAGGAAGGGCATGAGGGCTTGATGTCTTGTTACAAAGTTTAGAGGTATATGTGTGTTTTGTAGACCTAGAACATCTTTGAATATTTTTTTCCAGCAAATTCGTTAAAGTAACAACAACAAAATAGCCTGAGAAAATTGGGCAATAGATAGCACACAGTAGAAATATTATTGTTGTTTGCATTTAAATGAAGAATTGAATACATTGATGTATTACAGTAGAGAGTGGAAGCAAATATGTTAAGAAGATAATGTAACATCCAGAAAAGAGGACTAATGAAAGAATAGGGCCTAAAGCTAATCAGTATAACTAAGAAAGAAAAGAAGGCTACTTTGGGGAATAAAATTTCTCTTTAGGCATCATCATCTATCCACTCAGATCTTTTTACTCATCTCAGTTTCCCCATCCAGCCTTCGAAAAATTCCCCATCTTCCATCTATCGAGTAAACTCCGTTTGTCCTGGGGAGACCCCCACTCCTTCAGCCACTTTCAAGCACATTCATCTTCACCTCACCCCATTTTCTACACACATCCCTGCATCATCTCTGAACCTTACATCATGTAACATTTTACCCACTTCAGCCTTCTTTCTACAACCAGTTAGAGCCTCTTAATCTTGTCTTTTTCCTCCCTTTAGGCACTAACAAATAGCTCTATCTCGCTTCTTTTTCCTCCTCTAAGTCAGCTATTCCCCGCCCCTTTCCCATGCATTAATTATCCTGCTAATTTGTCCACTCATTTCCCCCTTTTACATCCTCCTCCCCATTAGCCACCTTGCATTCTCCTATCTTTCATTGACCTCAAAGAAGCTAAGGGGAAAGAAAAGCCACTCTACTTTAAACTTGCTTAGATTTGCCAAATTTTCGTCATCAAGGTTTCTTCCTTTCTGTGTCTTTTGCTGTTTTAGTTCACACAAGACTTTTAGTGGAATTCCTTCAATTTGTTATATATTTTTATTATGCCTGCAAATGTCTGTTTTCCTTTGGTTGTGGCTGGGGATTCAAATATTTTACTTTGGGGAGTATTTCCAACCTTTCTGAAGTTCTCACTGACACACTCCTGACACTGTTTCGCTGCATCCCATCCTTTCTGCTGTATTCTCTTCCCATGGGTAATTCCTTTTATATTTTCAGTGAAATTCTTTCTTATTTTTATTCCCTCCTCCCCCCCTCCTCCTTTTTTTCTTTTTGCTTTGTGGGATTGGTATAGCGGCTCAAGTTTAAATATTTTGAGAAGGGACCCCCCTCAGCAGACCCCCTCATCCCACACACAGGATTTTAAAGCCTGTGTCAACGTGTGTTCATGTCAACATACAGTTACCAATCTTCAGAGGCAAAGGAACCCCTGTTTGTTTTATTTTAACTGCACTCTTAGAAAATTCTTTTTCTGTGTGTATGGTAAAGGTGCAATTCTCATATCGTTCTTCTCTCTACATTCAGTGGAATTGATTCAACATCGCTGGGAATTGGGAAGGGAAGAAAGAGTACGCTGTAAAAATACATTTTTCATCAAAGACATATATACATATTACCTTTGGGAAAAATAAAATACTTTGGAACATTTAATTGGATTGGCTTTATATGACAACATTCCAAATTACATGTCATTGTCTGAGCAGAGTTCTATTATTTGAAGACTTTATTGATCATTCAGTGTCCAGAATGAAGAAAACTAGGTAAGATGTCTTGATGTTCCAAACTGGCTTGCTATGTTCAAATTGGTCATATTTGAAATGGTGTTATTTTTCAATAGAAGTTCTTCACGAAGGCATCATCTCTAAAATGTGGTTATCTTTTGTTAGGAGAAAACATCAAATGACCTATGTGTCATGGTCCCTTAAGATTTATTCTCTATGCAAGGTTAATTGTAAAATAAAAGTTTATCAGATAGAGAAAACTATTTTAGGGTGAAACTGTCTTTTGATCTTCAGTTACATCTGGAGAAACACTGCATTCTCATTATCAAACAGCACCAAAACATGGGAAAAAGAGTATTTTTCAATTACTGTTTTGAATTTGAGGAGTAGCTTGCCAGAAATTATAGATGTACCTGTTATCTTTTTGCAATCTAAAAATCCTCAACTGTTCAAGGATTTAAACTGCCCTTTTAATTGTCTCTAATGTGTTATGCACTGGATTAATATAATACATTTTAAGACAAAGAACATCAGTGGCTACAATTTTTGTTTCCAGCCCAAATCTGAAAGAATGATTTTTGTACACCTAATCTGCTCATCTTGAACGTGTAGATTTGGGTAAATAGGAGGAAAGATAAATGAAAGGAGAGAATAAATTCCGGAAGAATATATTTCTCTGTTCAATAAAAACTGTTTTAATAATCTAATATAACTTTTAGCATGACAATGATAAAATTAATTTGCTGATGGATTTTAATTAAACTAAAGGAAAATTCATTTCTTTTAAAAATCCTTAAGTGATTAGAGTGCAAATTGAGATTTTAGCTAATTATATAATTCAGTTACTATCATCACATAAAATGAAATTAAAAGATTGTTTTCTGTCACCTTTATTTTGATTCATTCTTTAACTCCTTCAATATGTATAGTATTTTATATTTTTATATCATTTAAAAAGTTATATTAGGATCATAAAAATTTTTTGAGTAGAAAAAGAAGGCATGGTTATACCCATTTTGTCAATGGGGAGACTGAAGTTCCCGCTGATGAAATCAGCTCCCTAAGAATTTCCAGAATTAAGAGGGGAAGCTTCAAGAGGATTGATGGTCTTTAGTCTCCAAGCCAGGTCTTTTCCCAACATCCCTTCTTGCCTCTCTTTTATCTTTGAGTATATGTTGTCAAAGTTCTGAATGTAAAAAGCAAAAATATATAATGTGTCTTGGATTAAAAAATAAAAATTTCAAAGACAAGTATATTCAAATATATTAAAATAACTTTTTCAGTTAATTTTCTACTAGCATTATATTCTCCTATTTAGTGTCTTTTTGCACTAAGCTTTGTAAACATTATATGATATTAAATAAAATGGTAGAACTATTGAAATGTTAACAGTACATGCTTATATGCTTCTTCCATTTTGTTTACAAAAATAATTTAAATTATGACCCATCATAATGACAGTCCCTAAAGTTTGAGTTTACTTAATGTAGCAAATGTTTAGTCCTATATCCTACTATCCTACTGTCATTTTTTTAGAACACCTGTATTTTTACATAAGATTTATTTTAGGGGATGTTTGCCAATGATTTTTAGGTAGTGTTTTTTTTCCTGACACGACATTTTGGAAGCAACATATCTTTGATAATCAGTTGAGTGTGGGTTTGTATCATATCAACCGAAAGGATATTAAGCCCCCAAAATTCAAATCATTGTTTGTTGTCTTCAGATTACAAACTCGTTTCAGGTACAGTGAGAGCAGGGGTTTATTTAAATTGTGTGAACACAAGGTCTTTTATGATTTATGTTTTATTAGTGTCTAGAGAGTGACCTTGGGCAAAAACCTTCACCTCCCTGGACTTCAATTTCCCCAAAAGTAAAATGAAGGAATTGTAAGTTATTTCAAGGCCCTTTGCAAAGGGAAAAAAAATCCTGTGATATTTTACAAAAAGCAGTAGACGTCTAGGACATTCTTTCCTTGTCCCTTGGCTCTGCACGTATTATCAATTTGACTGTATTGATTCATTAACCATCAATAACTAAAAACCTATGGCTTGTCCAGCATTGCAATACTTTAAATGTTAAGGGTGGCCCTTAAAGAAATTTTGGAGAGTTCTGTCTTTGAAAAGCTTATATTCTAATAGGGCTAAAACAATGAACAACAACAACAACAAAGTAATATATAGTCACATTAAATTGAATTCAACAAATATTCGTTGTCACTCTACATTACAGTACACCAAGTATAGTGCAGGTTTTATAGACTCTGAGAGTGGAAGGGACCAGAAAGATAATTTAGTCCAAACCCTTCATTTTACAGATAAGAAAAGGAAGGCTCAGGGATGAGATATGAGTGCTACAGGAGTTCATGTAAGGTATTGGGTGATAGCATGAATTAATTTATTCCACAAACATACTTGTTCCCTGCTTTCCAATGTGTTTAGAATTTTAAAACACCATCATGTAGGGCTTTTTAATTACCTTTGCTCAAATTTAATAATAGTATCTTATCAGAAAGTTAAATGTATCCAAAACTTGTTTGTTTTTTGTTGCAGTAAACAATTTCCCACTCTGACTCAGATCTAGAAAATACTGTTTCCCACATTTTGTATTGAATAGAGATTATTAAAAGCACCTGTATTGTGCATATTATGTTATAAAACATAAAAAGTGATGTTTTGATATGGAAAACAAGTGAATGGATTCAAGTATCAATGCATTAAGTATTTTATTTTTTTTAAAAAATGACTGGAAAAGCCCATTTACTTAAAATGGCTAGAAATATACATTCCTGGAAGGATGGTTTTATTTTTATAAATGCATATTTACTCTAAATAGTTAAGTACACATTTCCTTTAAGTTTTAAATATAATCTGGGGAAGATTTTGAGTGCATTCTCTAAAATTTGATGATTGCTACATAATCTCATTCTCTATGCCAGGGCATATGTGCGTTTGTTAGGGAGTATGGGTCAGGCAAAGGTAGGCAGGAAAATTATGCCAAAGCAAAGCTTTCCCTTCTTTCCTGAGTAATCGTAGACTGCTTTATTTTACTTTGTGACAGAGGAAGAGGGGAGGAGAAAGGAAATCAAATAGAGAAGAAAGAGAACTACCAGAGCGTTGGATGATAGGGCCTGATTTTCTCTTCAGTGTGAAATATGCAAGCTTTTTGAAACTGCCTTGGATAGCTTCTCTCTTTTACTTCTCATATTATATATTTAGAATACCTTAAGTGTTGGCTGGTCGCAGCGGCTCACGCCTGTAATCCCAGCACTTTGGGAGGCTGAGGCGGGCAGATCACGAGGTCAAGAGATCGAGGCCATCGTGGCCAACATGGTGAAACCCCGTCTCTACTAAAAAAAATTACAAAAATTAGCTGGGCGTCTTGCTGCGCGCCTGTACTCCCAGCTACTCGGGAGGCTGAGGCAGGAGAATCCCTTGAACCCGCGAGGCGGAGATTGCAGTGAGCCGAGATCGCGCCACTACACTCCAGCCTGGCAACAGAGCAGGACTCCGTCTCAAAAAAAAAAAAAAAAAAAAAAAGAAAAGAAAAAGAAAAAGAAAAAAGAATACCTTAATTGTTATTTGATGGTTGTTTGCTAGGTTGTGAGAATCAAAATCTTCCAAAACATGAATACATTAAATTTTTTTAAAGAGAGGCTTAAGAATAGGTAATACACACACCAAACACACAAACAGGACAAAACCTTTACATGAGAGCTCCTCAGGCAGAATTTCCTTTGCCTTTCTTTTTAGATCGGGAAAGAATTTGCTCAGTTTGTCAGTGACGTTTTACCCTTCAGTCTGCCTCCACAGTTCTTAAAGCTTTCCTTGTCTGCAGCCTTTCTTAGTCCATGAATTCAGTTTTAGCATCCATAAAATAAAGCAGTTACAATATGTGCTGGCCATTTTATAATGGCCATGAGTGCAAAGCAGGATTACTTAAGAAAGAGCATTTGAATTCACTGAAAGTCACAGACATTCTGAATGCCTCAGAACTGCATACAGGAGTAAACAGATATGGGAATATAAGGCTAATGTTCAAAAATTGGATAGCTGGCATATATAACAGAATCAAAACACTTTAGAAAGAAATAGAACCAATATACAATTACTAATCAATCAGCATCACTGCTAACGACTTGTTATTTTAAACTCCAGTTTCTAGGAAATTACATTCTATTCCTGTGCTTCTCAAACTATAATGTGCAGACAGATCATCTAGAAATGTTAAAATGCAGATTCTGATTCAGTAGATTCTAGGTGAGGCTGAAATTCTGCATTTCTAACAAGCTCCCTGTACACATGGAAGCTGCTGCCCCTCAAACTACAGTTATCCAAAAGGCGCTGATCCATAGTCTGGTAAACAAGCATGATAAAGATGAAGTAAGCCAAGGGTAACAGGATTTCTTAAAAGAAAAAAGAAACAATTTAGGTATGTGCAATGGATGAAAGTTTTAAATTCAACTAGATTTACAATTATTTGCATTTAGAGGTTAAATTTGATTTTAACCTTTTGTGTGACTATATTGGTTGAAACTGTAGTTCAGAATAACAACCAGTTGCTTGTCCATTTTGCAGTCAAATCTATTTCATGGACAGTTTGTACATACGATTATACCATTTCAAAAATGAAAACCATTCATCATACAGTGTCAACGGTGTACCAGTATCTTAAAATCTTTTTAAAGAAATCCAAAAGTTCTGAGAAGTCTTAGTATAGTATAGACCCCTAAAGATATTGGTTTGTAAAATATCAGAATTGAACATATCAGCTAATCATTCAGATTTTAGAGTAGAATATCCAATTAGATTTTCATTTACCTAATTTGAAAAACTTCTTTTTATTTTCTTATTAGTACACACATTTTGCAGAACAACAACAGCAACAACGAAAGACACTTGGTAGAGATTATTTTGTATTTGCTGTCTCAAAATAAAAGTCCTCAAAGTGGGAACAAATGGTAAATTAGACACCATGCTAACCACTTTCCTCACAACTAGACTTTTATCTTAGAATACAGCCGAATAGTCACTTAATCTAAGTGAAACTTTCATTCATTATTAGTTTAGGAAAACTTTCATAGTTCTCATTTCTTTATGTGCAGCTCAGAAACAGTATCAAGTTAAAACAAATGACATTGAAAGCAACCATTGAAATAAGTGTAAATGTTTAAATTGTGCTTGCTAGGAGACACGGTATAGTTCTAGCAGGGTTAGGAAAACAACTGAAAGTTTTCACTTCAGCGTTGGAATTCATGTCTTAATTGTACCATTGAGATTCAGAAGCCATCACCTTCCCGATGAAACTGTACTAGTCTTTTCTAAGCTCTGATACTTACAGGAACAGCAAAGTCTGTTTAGTGGTAATAATTTGAGGATCTCAGTGAGATAAAGGGCCAATTGGATTAAAATGTTCTTGTAAGTGCTAAATGAACTTGAGTGTCTGCCAAAATTGCCTTGGATTTCATTACTCTTAACATTACTTAATAATGTTAAGCTAGTGCCCATGTGGGTATGAACCCCAATCTTGCTAACAGTTTTCTGTATTGGTCTGTTCTTGCATTGCTATAAAGAACTACCTGAGACTGGGTAATTTATAAAGAAAAAAGGTTTAACTGACTCACAGTTCTACAGGCTGTATAGGAAGCATGGCTAGGGGAGGCCTCAGGAAACTTACAATCATGGCAGAAGGCTAAGAGGAAGGAGTCACGTCTTATATGGCCAAAGCAGGAGGAAGACGGAGCAGGTGCAGGTGCCACACACTTTTAAACAACCAGAACTCGTGAGAACTCACTCACTATCACAAGAACAGCAAGGGGAAAATCCACCCCCATGATCCTATCACCTTCCACCAGGCCCCTCCTTCAACACTGGGGATTAAAACTGGACATGAGATTTGGGTAGGGACCCGAATCCAAACCATACCATTTAAGCATAGACTGTTTCCATGTACCTAATGGGGCACGTATAGCAGCCAAAATACCCTATATCTTTTTAGGGTTTTTTTTTTTTTGAGAGGGAAAATCCAAAATATACAAAAAGGAAAAGAAATATAAGAATCAAGACAAAATAAACAGATAGCAAAACATCTTCATACTCTATTATCAAAGAATAGAGAAGAAAACTTACTCTATGGTAAATAGAAATATCAGTTCTATGAACACGATCAGTACATTTTTTTTTTTTTTTTTTTTTTGAGACGGAGTCTCGCTCTGTCGCCCAGGCTGGAGTGCAGTGGCGCAATCTCGGCTCACTGCAAGCTCCGCCTCCCGGGTTCACGCCATTCTCCTGCCTCAGCCTCCCGAGTAGCTGGGACTACAGGCGCCCGCCACCGCGCCTGGCTAACTTTTTGTATTTTTAGTAGAGAGGGGGTTTCACCGTGTTCTCGATCTCCTGACCTCGTGATCCGCCCACCTCGGCCTCCCAAAGTACTGGGATTACAGGCGTGAGCCACCGCGCCCGGCCTCATGTTTTAAGACAATGAGAAACAATTGAGTTAATTTACAATGGCATTAAAATAAAAAATCATATGTAATTAAATACATGTCAAAAATCAGACTATCTCAGACTCATAACTGGAAAAAATATGAAATAATTTCTTGGCCTGATCCAGCAAATATTAGAATGGTTCAAAATATTAAACAAAATAATGATGTCAGAGTATTCCAATTCAGTTTCATAACTTTAAGTCATTTATATTTCCAGCTTCAGAATCAATTTGAGTAGATCTTAGAATGAGTTTAATTACAGGAAAATATTACATAACTGGATGAAATTTTAATCATAAATCACAGACTTGAAGAATAGATTTTAAAGAGATGGCAGTGAAGGTTGAGCAATATTAGCCAGAAGACAATACTGTATAATACATACTAAATGTCTAAGTACTTAAAGTACTTACAATTGCTAATAATATGATAGGATCACAAAAGAATTAGTAAGAACTTTAAAGGAAATGGATTAATTATATTCATTAGAAAAAAAATTACAATTCTAAGTTACAATTAGGTTCCAGGATAAGGACTGACAACTCAAATAAGCATCATGATTCAGAGAAATGGAAGACACTTTGAGAACATGATATACAGTATTTCCTTTACAATATCATTACACTTTATATATTTTTATATCCTATGCCAATGATAGCAACTATTAGATCGAAGCAAAAATAATTGTGGGTTTTCCCATTAATAGATCACCCAAGAACATGCTTTGGTTGTAACTGAAACTACTAAGTTTTTGAAACAGGTAAACTAAAAATCAAAGCAGATTTATCATGAAACTTAACACAAAAACTAAACAAAATACTGGAAATAGCACTTTGCAGTAACTACTAAAAGCAATATCACTAATATCACAGATTTTACTATGTAAATAATTACATTATCACTTTTAAATTGCTTTCATTGCATTTTAGGGTACTCTGGCAGATTTTTTTTCATCTGAATCTCACAACAGTTCTGTGAAACAGGTATTGCATATATTATATATTTTTAACATATGAGGAAAGAGGCAAGACAAGTTTTTCTATTCTTAAAATCACATACCTTTTAGGTGTCAGAGACAATAATAGATCCTTGTTCTTATCCCTGGAATAATATTTGTTTTATCAGCTAATATATGCACCAATTTATTAGGTTCAAATATAATTAAGGATATATATTAAATAACAATTTAGAATATATTATATTTACTTTTTTAGGAGTTTTAAATTTGTACTACAAAGTTTCAGTGAGCACTTTTTGAATCTTATTCGGCAAAACTATTGTAATATCCCTGGCTTTAGTAATTTAAAACATGTATTAACATAACTATACAATTATACAGTAGTCAATAGTGGACTAGGAAATAAGGATGTTATCAGATTGAACAAGAAAGGAATACTAAGTTGGAAAACAAAATTAGGATTTGGTTCTATTTTCAAATAATTTCGGAAACCAGAGTCAAACTTCAAGGGATTGTCTTCTCTGTGAAGATAAAAATATTTGAAATAATAGGTCTAGAGGGAGAGTATTTGGGAGCAAAAAGGAAAATTATGGCTATGGGTTGGCTTAGATATAGACTGTTAATAATACACTAAGGTGTATTACTCTGGCTAAGTACTGGTAATGCTTGATCACAGAACTTTGGTAGGTTTCAAGTTTCTAATTTTATTTGAATTACATTCAAGCATTTCCGTAATAGAGTTCTGTAATAGTAGTTAACCATGTGGGGTGAATAGTTTTATCCACTGAGCTCATACTTTGTTTTCCATTGGAAGAACTAGATTATTAGAAACTGTTACAAAAATATATTTTGCTGTTAGAGAAGCAAACCCTGTTTAGTTTCTTTAGTGAATACCATGAGTTAATTAGTAGACTTAAAAATATAAATGATGACACATATTGTGCTGAAGTGCCACTGAATATAAGAAAAACACTATCCTTTTTGTAAAGTTTCCTTAAAACTACAGTTCTACATAAAGGTGATATTTATTCGTGAATGTTTTCTTGAAAGAAGCCTTTACATATAACCATTTAACACTTCAAACAACCCTGTGGATTAGCTGGAGCAGACATTTTTAGCCTCCCTTTCTTTTGTCCATTTCTGTTTTTCAAATGAAGAATTGAGCTAGTCCAGATTAGCTAAATGGCTTGCCTAAAGTCATCGTCAATTTAGTTAGGAGTAACTTAAGATTCCATGAGCTTTTCACCATTGCCATGTAGACTGAGTTACTGGTGGTAGATAATTTAACCTAGGAATTATGTAGTGATTTGAGATTTTTAATAAAGGAAGGAAAAGAAAGGAAATGTTTCTCAGATATAGAATCTAGGTTAGGGATAACATTTCTTTGCAGAAAAAAATACAAATTGTGATGAGATATTCAGATTCTACTGAATTAGCAATACACTGAGGTAAATCATGACTAGCAATGTTTTGATGAAAATATACTTGTTTGCTGTTGGGGTATTCATTCTGTTCTCATTATTAGTGGCTCCAAATGAAGAAAGTAGGAATTATTGTAGTGAAATGCATGTCCCTAGGCATTCTATAATAACCTGGAATTTCTAGTTTATTTGATTTTCCTGTTTTTACTTAGGAAGGTGATATGGTTTGGCTCTGTGTCCCCACCCAAATCTCAGCTTGTAGCTCCTATAATTCCCACGTGTTGTGGGAGGGACCTGGTTGGGGATGATTGAATCATAGGGGCGGGTTTTTCTGTGCTGTTCTCATGATAGTGAATGGGTCTCATGATATCTGATGGTTTTAAAAATGGGAGTTTCTCTGCACAACCTCTTTCTTTGCCTGCTGCCATCTATATAAGATGTGACTGGCTCCTCCTTGCCATCTGCCATGATTGTGAGGCTTCCCCAGCTACGTGGAACTGTGAGTTCTCCATTAAACCTCTTTCCTTTGTAAATTGCCCAGTCTTGGGTATATCTTTATCAGCAATGTGAAAACAGACTAATACAGAAGGTCATTTCTGATATTTTTTTGTCTTTGTGCATAACTTGTGCTTTTTTGGAAGTAACTTAAAACACAAATACTGTTTAACTATGAGCTATGAACAGTTACACCTACTGACTTAACGTGTGTTTTCCAGAAGGTTCCATTCCCTTTGAAGTGACTTGCCCAAGGTCACAAAAGCAACTTAGTGGCAGTCTGAAATGGAATTTAGGTCTGCTTGGTCAGTGTGCTTTTCACTATATTGTCCTGTCACATCTTTCACCACAGTAAAAGGGCTTATGTACATTTTTTTAAATCACATGTATAATGATCATATAGCCCAAAATAGTCCAGTGTTAAAACTAGTTTTGGTTATAGATTTGAATGGTAAATACCAAACTAATGTGTGTTAAATAGTAAAATGGTGACTCTTTTTCAACAAATTAAAGACATAAAAATACTAACTCATTAACTAATTTTCTGAATGAAACTTAAATTTTATAAAGCAATGTTACATATGTTATAACATTTACCTTCTTGAATGTTAGGGACGTCTCCTACATGAGGTTTTATGCTACAATTTAAACTTTAAATTTTACGGAAATATCACTATAATACTTTACTGCAACTTAGATCTCTCTTGAATCCAAGAAGTTTGTTTTGCAGAAATACTGTAAGAACAGTTTTATAGTCATCTTAATTTTAGTGGCAGGTCCCTATGACTTAAGACCCCAAAATACATTAAGGTAAAGTTTTAATGTTCCATAAACAATACCAATCATCCAATTTATGGAACTTATGTTTTGCTTATTTACAGAAAAATAAATATTTGCCCCATTTCAAATATTTTAAAGGTGTTTGCTCTATTGCTAAAAATGTCTAACACATTAGACTTTTAATAGATTAATGGAATGGAGTTGTAAACTATTCTTCAGCAAACATACCTTTAAAGGTCATGCTGTTCTCAAAATATAAATTAACAAGTTTGGTTAAGTGCAAGGAAGTAGTATAAAAGCCAGCAACCTCAGTTATATTTTAGTCTTGTTATATTTGTTTGAATGAAAATTTATCTTACATAGCTATCTTTTTTTCCAAAATGTAAAAGATTTTCCTTGTGAACAGACAGCATTTGATCTAACATAGTTATTGGTCTATTAATTTTTTTGTGTTCTTTTCTACCAGAGCCATGTATTCCTACTGCATAGTATACATTTTTAGAGTAAATTCTTTTAAGAAATAATTTGAACGTCTTTAATTTTCAGAGAAAATTTTAGGTGTAGTTTTTTTAATTGCATAACTATTTTGAAACTACTATATAGATAAATTTTGAAATTTTAGTAATGTGGTGAAAAAATTCAATGAGAAAGAATATCCTTGATTCAGAAGCTACTGAAGACAAATAAGTAAAGTTGGAAACTGTTAAAGGACTAAAAGGGCAGAAAAATTGTCAATATCATTTTCTTATCTCTTCTAGATATAGCTGACTTGATAAACTGATTATTAAAAGTAACAAGTTCACAATAACTGAAAAACCCAAGTTCATTTTGAACCAAAGATTATGGTTAAAATACCAATGCCAAATTTACCAAAATAATTACATTTTGCATACTGGATAATCATTATATATATAGTTGGTACAAATTAATCCTTAGTTATCTATATCTTAGATGTCTACTTCTGTGCCTCTGTGAAGTAGGAGGTAGTCTAATTATTTCCATGGTATGAATATAGAAATTGAGACTTGCCTAAATGTACAAAGACAGTAAATGGCCCCATCAGGGATCACACTCACATCTTTTTCACTTCACAGTCCAGATTTTTAACCAGAATGCGAAATATAAATGTATTTTTGTTTATATTTTGAAATATCATTTAACTATATTAATAATTACTATGCACATAAACTTTTCAATTTCTTTTTAGATAAATGTTTCATATTATATCCATTTCTCAGCTTTATTAACTGTGTTAGGAGTGCAGAACACCGTGCCTTGAGGAAACATAAAAGTACATCAGTTAAACTGAATATTAAGGTTTTTCTTCTTTCTTCTGGACAGCTTAATTGTAGGAGAAATATTCTACCTATAAAATTGCCTGTCGTTAACAATTCAGTTACAGCCTGGTGAATGTGAACACACACACTTTAAGTGTCTAATTTAAAACTAGATTTTCTCCTTTGATAATTCTACTTTTGTTGTAGATTATATAATGAGTTTAAGCAAATTAAAATTATAGATGGCTTGTGATCTTTCTCATCAAAGATGATTGCATTTTTGTTTCACTTGTATTAGAAATTTGACAGATTTGATCTAGAGGCATGTACAGTTTTGATTTTTAATGGATTTGCTTGGACAATCTCAAGTTAAAATAAGAACTTTCAATTCTAGTCTCTGTTCAGAAATCCTGACTCATAATACTGAGATAAATACTGGAGGGATAAAATGTCTCTCAGCATTAAATAACTAAATAACATTTGTTTGAACCGTAAAGGGAGAATTGAGTTTATTTATAATCCATCTGCATAATACATCTAGTTGAATCAATCAATTATTTTAACTGATTTTCTTCCAAATTAACTGCTGGTTTTATTTTTATGTGGACATTAGCCTTATTGTCCAAAAAACTCACTCTATATTTCTACTTAAGACAATTAAAATGCAGCAATTCCTTATTCTTTAATCATATCCTTAGGGTATTTAGTCAGAATGGAATATTATGAGTCAAAGATATTGATCAGAAGTCAGTCGAAATTTAAAATATCTTCTCTTGGATTTATTTTCTTCATAACTATTATCATGCAATAATGATGCAAATGCAGTACAAACAAAAACATAGATGAACACAGATGCATTTGCTTGATAAGTACAGACAAGGAAACAGCATGGTAGAAATTTGCCCAACTAGACTTTCATTCTAGTAGCTAAGCTTTATGCTTTTTTTCTTAACTTGATATTTTAAAAACTTGAAAAAAAAAAGAATCAGTATCACTTCTCAGCCTTTTGGCTAAGATAGAGTGTAGTATCTGTTCCTATCAGTTTAATATCTGATATATCCTCTGTCCGAGGACAATATATTACATGGATTTTTGGAGCAGGGAGATGGAATAGGAGCATGCTCTGTCCACTCCACACATTGACCTGGTATTGCAGTACCTCCAAGAACGGTGTTCCCCTCGGGGGTTAAAACACAGTGTTACAGGCCAGGCGTGTTGGCTCACCCCTGTAATCCCAGCACTTTGGGAGGCCGAGGCAGGTGGATCACCTGAGGTCAGGAGTTCGAGACCAACCAGGCCAACATGGTGAAACCCCATCTCTACTAAAAATACAAAAATTAACCAGGCATGATGGCGGGCGCCTGTAATCCCAGCTACTCAGGAGGCTGAGGCAGGAGGATCACTTGAACCAGGGAGGCAGAGGTTGCAGTGAGCCGAGATTGTGCCACTGCACTCCAGCCTGGGCAACAAAGTAAGACTCTGTCTCAAAAAAAAAAAAAAATCAGTAGAATCACTTTCTTAAAATATAAGTACACAGATACTTTTACAAATATATGATACACAATGGCCTTCAAAGTGGATCTAGACAAATAGAAATTTGTTTTTAATAATGTTTAGAAATTATGTTTCTCTTGCTAATATTCAGTATCACTTTGTTACTTGAAAATTCTACTTTTCACAGAAAACAACCTATTTTTGTAGGACTTAGGTTGTCTTCCTGCTGTTAGGATATATTACCACTACATAGCAGTGAGGTTGTAAGAACTCATTTCTTGTTGGAATGTATTTTACTCAGACGTGGATTATTTCTTCCTTTAATATATATAATATACATAATTTCTGAAATTATATAATAAATCATAAAATGTTTATATTCAAAACATACTTTTAGAAATGAAGACTTAGGTCACATTTATTCTGTTTTCCTTATATCATCAGCTAATACTTAATGAAACCCTACCCTTCACCAGAGATTTTGAATAGCTTATTTTTTACCTACTCCATATTTTCTATTTTCCAGAATTATCTCTTGAAAAAACTCATACATGCATAATTGAAATTAAAATTTTAGGATATTCCACAAAGTTGAATAGAGGTTTTAACTAAATCCATGACCTCCTAAACACAAATCTTTTTTTTCACTGACATTAAAAAAAGTGTATCTATAGATAAAATTTCTATTATCCTTCAATTAATAATAAATCACAAACATACCTAATTCTGTTAAGTAAAAGACCACATGTCTATTGAGGAATTGTACTAGGCTCACAAGAGTGAGTGTGAGATGATTACTAAGAGACTGTTTGCTATGAACAGTAAAACACATTTTTTTGGTATAATGTGATATATGATATAAATGAGCTTGATAAGGTTGTTTAAAGATTCACAAAAGAAAGTAGATTTCTGGCCTTTCACTTGATTTACTATGAATTTCTGCAAAACTACTGAGTTTCCTGGTTGTGAAATAAAAATAATGACTCTTTAACAACTTGTCTGACTGTGCAAGTGAGTGATAAAACTTGAATAAAAATGTATTATTCAGAGTAGAACTGAAAGGTGTGAGGCTCTAGATGTTAAACATTTATATTCATAAATTATCATAAACACTGAACACTGATATGTGTTCATAAGTAAATAAATAAGTAGGGAGATTGAACTGATAGTAGGGAGATTGAACTGATACCTCATTAAGGTTTTTGTGGCTGGTTGCGGTGGCTCCCGCCTGTAATTGATCCCAGCACTTTGGGAGGCCGAGGTGAGTGGATCGCTTGAGGCCAGGAGTTCGAAATCAGCCTGGCCAACATGGCATAACGCCGTCTCTATTAAAAATACAAAAATCATCCGGGCGAGGTGGCACACGCCTATAATCCCACGTACTCGGGAGGCTGAGGCACAAGAATCGCTTGAACCCGGGAGGCGGAGGTTGCAGTGAGCCGAGACCGCGCCACTGCATTCCAGCCTGGGCGCCAGAGAGAGATTCTGTCTCAAAAAGAAAATATTTTTACATAACACTTTTCACACTCTTCCATTTTCTCTCCACTTTCTCTTTTCCTTCTACTCTCTTTTTTCCTTCTTCCATTGAATTTTCACTACTCTTTCTTCATAAAGTAAGTTGTTGAAAGATTAAATATTTTACTGCAGTTCACTCTGTTTTCTACTTCCATTCTTCTACAAGTAGGCATCTATGTCAAAAAATAATCAGTTTGAAAATCTCCTTTATTATTCTGTTTTTAAGCATCTCTTTGTCTAAAAGTAAAAACAAAACGTACAATTAGGAATATGTGCTTTGGCTCTTTAAGGCAACTGCTTGCCCCATACTCTGACTTTAGCCCTCAATTGTCTTGGAGATGCACAGTAAAAGGATATATGCCTAGGAGAATAAGGCTTTGATGTACTGTATATCTAAATGTTGTCTGACAAAATTAACACAGAAAACTATGGATATTTTTTCTTAGCGTTTGGAACAAACATGATACATAATAGATTATTTTGCTGTAATTAAAATGATTTTCTATGTCTAACTTAATGTTCATGTACCTAGTTTTGGTTGTTTCCATTTAGCAGGTGAGGTAGCAATTGCTTTCTTTTGAAAATTTAGACCCTTTCTACTGCTATCATTGACTTTGGAAAAAAGGCAAAACCAAAGGCAAATTAACCCTATAATAAATATATTCAGTTGATCATTCATGTTAAGATACTTGATGGCTTACATTTAATATTAGGGATATTTATTTTACATTCAAAAGTTATTCATTTTTACTTAAAACATAGAAATGCTGTTTTTTAAAAAAAGGTTTATTGCTGGGCGCCCTGGGCCTGTAATCCCAGTATTTTGGGAGGTGGAGTGGGGCAGAGAGCTTGAGCCCAGGATTTCCAGACCAGCCTGGGCAACATGATGAAACCTCATCTCTACCAAAAGTAAAAAAAATTAGCTGGGTGTGGTGGCATGCGGCTGTAGACCAAGGTACTCTGGAGGCTGAGGTGGGAGGATTACTTGAGCCTGGGAGGTGGAGGCTGCAGTGAACCATGATCATGCCACTGCACTCCAGCCTGGGCAACAGAACAAGACCCTGCCTCAAAAAAAAAAAAAAAAAAAGAGTTTATTATCCCATCTAGGCTTCAAGTAAAATGATTTAAATAAGAAGGGAAGTTACTTATTCAACTCAAAAGAATTTAAAAGGAAACATAAAGGATTTTAAACAGCAGTATTCATTTTCTGCCTTTGTTAGTCAACAAAAAAGAGGGTCTTGAGTCATAATGCAGACAAAAGGTAACATCGGCTGCATATTGTGCCTGAATAATGGAGATTTCTTCAACAGAAACTGTTTGAAAAACATTTGCACGGAAGTAGTAGATTGCCTTTGATTATATTCAAGGGGAAGGAAATAGCCAAGCATGATTTTCCAGAATAAAGTAAACTTTTCTTTCATTAGTGAAAGTTATATTTTTGGAGTGATATAAACACTTTAAAACACTTTATACACAAAGTGAATTCATATAGATAAATTACATATTTTAAAACTAGAAATATTTTCACATTAAAGCTGAAATTATACATGATATGAATGCAGTATTAATTACTAATGATTTGTTTTGCAGAAAGATTCTTCATTGTGTAAATGAATTCATCATAGACTCCAAATATCAAGCTCTCAGAATGTATTAAAAATGGCATTTGTTATCAGTCCTCCAGGTGTTACATATGACTCCCAGTCACACTTAGATGACAGTATATGTGAAAGATGCTTAGGAGAGGCAAGAGTCTGAAAGGCCAACATATATTAAATAACTTTATTTAAATGAAACAATAAAATCCTGACTGATTTGAAAGTACACTGATGCATTATCAATGCACTTTCTTGAAGAATTGGTCTCGAGAGAAAATGCTTCACTGAAATAATTCAGGAAACTGCCCTTACGGCAAGTGGGGCAGATACTCTTCCTGTCCTTCATAGCGTTCTATATGTTTAAGGAGCAATGCTGACAATCATACACATGCATCTGCATGCACACATTAGGAAAGATGGAGTAACATGTCTATCTAAGTTGTTGTTGGCAATCTGTGTTCCCCCTCAGGGGAAATCTTTCAAATTAAATTTGGGCAATTTTCTTTATGTAGATACTAGAAAAGGATTCTCTCTCAGCTCATATTTGTGTGTCTTTTGTCATTTTTTCTTCACAGTTACGGTTACCTATGCTAGTACAGTATGCTGCACATAATTTAGATCAATTAATTCTGTTGACTAAAATACACCTTTTTGGATCCCCTGTTTCCTGCTTCTCACCACCACACGTTGTCTTGTCTGCTGTGCTTTTAACAGCTCTCAAATAAGAAATTTATCTTTGCATATTTAAACATCCTACTCCTCACCCCATATTAAAGTTACATTATTAAGAAGGCCCACACATTCTGATAATTTCCATATATTTATTAATGCCCACCTGCATGAAATAATTTTTCCTGCACACTTAGTTTTGTGCTTTTCCCAGATATTTGGAATAAATCTTTACTTATTGATGTAGTGATTTGTATGGAGAATTGCATATTAGTGGAAAGTCTGACTAAATATCTATATAGAATATATGAAGTCGGACTACATGAAATTTCTATTTTTCAGGTCAAAATTGGTTAAATATCAGTAATTTTATCTATTTCAACCAGTAAACAAAGGTCACAGTTCAGATGTACTGAAACAGAGAAAATCATAATTATCAGTGGAACTATCTTCTGAATTTCTCCTCACATCTGCAGATTTGTCCGGACAATTACTTAGTCTTAAGTAAAAATTAGTGTTGGAGAAGTCTTTATGAATAATGCATACTTCTGGACGAAGTGAGATTTGATCACTTCTCAGCCTTTTGGCTAAGATCAAATGAAAGTCAGTTTATAAAGTTGAGACTTCCGATTTAATGTTAATATGAGTTCCTGAAAAATGAAACACAGTTCTATTAATGCCTCAGTACAAATTACCCAATTATGCAACATAAATTTCAATGAAATGTAGCATCAAGTAAATCTATTTTCCTATTCAATTACTTATTGAATGAATAGGCATTTTTCTAATAAGATAGGCATTTGGATCAAATGTTAGCATTTTTTGTTTCTGCAGATTTATTGTGTCTGCAATTTAATATGGATTATAGAAACATACGGAATGAAGCCTCCGTATAATTGTTTATCCCATTATCAGAAATTTTGCAAAATTTGATTCCTGAGAAAAAGGTAAATTAAAGCCATTTGCCATCAGTTATCTTTTTCATTTTTTTTTCTAAACTCGGATTTCAAACAGAAGAGCTCTTTTTTGGGTGATGTCCTTAATAATTACAATCTAGATTCTGATTCCAAAACTTTACTAAGTTTTATTTATGTTAGTGTAAGTGAAAAATAAACATATTTTGTATTGTTTAAAGTCTGTGTAGTAGCTAAGGGCTTAAGCTTTCGACTCATATAAATCTTCTTTCAAATTTTAGTTGTATACCTTAATAGGTCTGTGACCTTGGGCAAGTTATTGAAACTTTTAGAGTCTCAATTCCCTCATATGTAAACGGAAGTCACAATAACAGTGCATATATCATAAGACTGCTGTATTAAATGCACTTAGCACAGTTCTTGGCATGTAATAAGAATTCAATAAATGGTAGCTACTATTATTCTAATAACTGATTACATTCTTTGGAAATTGTATTAAGATGACCCCAGCTGCTTAGTGAATCACTGTATTTGTCAGCATAGTAATTTGCAGAAACATGGATCTGTATTTCCTTTATATATATTTTTAATAGGATTAGGACTTGCAGGAGTTTGCTAGTGTGTATATGATCTTGGCAGCAGGAATCCAAATAGCCTGAGTAGAAAACTGAATTTTCCCACATTTTTTCAATCACATAGGGATAGAGATAATCCCCACTGTTGGCTAAATTGTGGAAGTTTTACGCTTCTTGTATTGGTGGGTTGCTGGCAACAGTAGTCTACAAATAAAGAATATTGTTTCTTAATAGCTTAAGCAATGTTAACATGATACATTCTCTCTTTTTACCAAAAAGTCTTTTCAAACTCTTAGCAAAATTAAACATTTTAAAAAATCATCGAGTTAATTAAAAGAATATTGTATCCTTAAAATATGCCATTTTAATGGAAATTTTTTTTGGTCAGTGAGAATATGATTTATTTACAATAATGCCACAAAATATGAAGTGGCAGTTTTATATTTCAAGTGGTTCTGGTCATTTTTAATTAACCGGAGAGGAAGTGAGAAAAAAATAAAGACTGTTTAAAATATAATTAATTAGATTAAAATTTTAACTTTTGTTTATACAGTCTTTAGTAATGTATTTATTGGCTTTTCTGAGGAATCTGGTATTTCTGAGGAAATTCTATTTTTAAATACATGCTACTTTAAATAAATGTTACTTCATCATTTGCAAATGACTATTCAATCAACATGTATAAAAGTTGTGGATTTCTTTGCTTTTATGACAAAAGTGGTATTGTATTTTTAAACTGATCACTTTATTAGGTCAGAGAGGGTATAGTTCAAAGTGTAATTATTTATTGTTAAATTGTATATTTACAAACATTTTAGTTTTGAACCATTAGATATTTATGTAATTTAAGTATGAAAGTTTAAAAATGGTTCATATAATAATAGGCATGTGATAAAATGTCATGATAAAAGACAGCCAAATAAATATTATTTCATCCTACTTAGAAAGAATAATTTTCCAGAGGAACTTTACTCAGTTTTAGAGAGAAATCCAAGAATAGTGTTCTTCTTTCATTTTTCAACATGATATAATCAGAGAATTTGGAAAACTGGTAAATATAACCTATAGTAAAATGGTCAGGAAAAATACTCATTTCCATTTATGATAACTGAAGTGACAAAAAGACTCCTAGAAGTTACATTTTCCCTTTGTGGTATATTAAAGAACAATGAATATACCACACTTTATTCTAAAAAGGACTTTTTTTGTGAATGTAAAGGATAATGATCAGATTTAAGTTTCTTTCTACAACCACTTCTAATTCTATTCACGTGATCTATTTAAAAATTCCTTACTTCAACATATTTAAATGTAGTAGCCATTTTGAAACATTTTAGTCCCTCAAGATACAGAAATATACAAAAAACATACAAGTTTCAGATCCAGAATTCAGTTTCTCCCTAAAGGGAAATTCATCATCCAATCTTCTGGCGTTCTTTAAACTAGACACTAGACCCTTTTCATCTAGATATTGCATATCTCATATATATTATACATGCATACATGTATGTGTATGCGTGTATTTTTAAAATCAGTATTTGTAGTAACATATCAAAAAGGAATTTCTAATATTCCAAGGTTCTAATGTTAGAATAGAAACATATTCACAATAGTGTTTACCAGTTTCATATATTTAGAGTAGTTTCACACTAAAATGAGTGATTAGGCTAGGCACGGTGGCTCATACCTGTAATCCTCGTACTTTGGGAGGCCAAAGCAGGGGGGCTTGCTTGAGCTCAGGAGTTCCAGACCAGCCTGGGGAACATAGTGAGACCCTGTCTCTACAAAAAACATTTTTTTTTTTAAATTAGCTCCTCACAGTGACACGTGCACCTATAATTCCAGCTACAGGGGAAACTGAAGTGGGAGTATGACTTGAGCTGAGGAGTTAGAGGCTTCAGTGAGCCATGGTGGCACCACTGCACTCTATCCTGGGTGGCAGAGTGAGAGCCTGTTGCAAATTAAAATAAGTGATTAGGACAAAAAAGATATAGGGCCAAATAAATAGAATGCTTACCCACCTCAAATAAAAAGAAAATAATATTTGTTAATATGAAGGTGATACTGGATAAGTGAAGTGCCTAGGACTTTTTTCTTAAATAATCTAGTATATTTTATGTGAATAAGGGACTATAAAGTAGGGAGATCAGCAGGACTGTAAAAGTGGGTGTGGGAGAAGAAAGTTTGCTAGTCAAACTTGGTTTAAATTGACTGCCTTTGTAATAGCATGTGGCTGAATGTTTTGATCTATTTATAATGAATATTTTAAGGATTTGCTAATTTTTGAAAATTGGCAAGAAATACTCATTTTTTTCCTGTCTTGAGGTATGCCAAAAATAAAACTTGCTAGAATAAAAAAAAATGAAAGTGAAGGAATGTCTTGTGTGTGCTAAAACACCTCCACTTAAAGAGTTTGATATCCACTAGAAAATGTTGTTTCTTTAAAAAGGGGACAAAGGGCATTTGATGCTTCTCACCTTTCACGGTTGTGACAATTCTCTTAGACATCTTAAATTCTCTAAGTGGAGATTTCTTATATTCTTCACAGTACACCTGTTTAAAAATTGTAGTCCACAGAAATCTGAAACTACAAAAGAAACTTTTCTCAAGATGATAACTCACAAGGAGTGTAAATTACAGTTACTTCATTTGTGGGAGTTTTCCTATCACTTTTCAATTAATAAGACACCCTGGTTATGGGAATTTTAGTCTCACTGAAAAACTCAATTTTTCTATGCAAATTAAATTTGCGTATGCAAGTTACAATTTGAGTTTAAGCTTAGGCCTACGCTGATGGAGGGATAACAGGCAAACTGGAATGTGGTACTTGACCATACTTAGTCAGTGCAGGAAAAACAACAAAAAAATCTTCAGAAACTTTCTTACCATTGACAGGGGCTAGTGTCGATATTCCTTGTGGTTTTCCCTTATTGACTGTATCTACGCCATCACATAGCAAAATGTACACAACAGCAGAAAGTAGACATTTTACTCATAGTTTCTGCAAAATCTGAATAAAGATAAAGTTTTTCTATTATAAATAATGCCAAAGATGTGGTCTTATAGATGTATGCATTCTAAGGATCAGGGAAAGGCTGTGAAATAAAACTCTAAGTTGAACAAAATTCAAGTAGTTTATCTTTTAACAGAAATATCTCCATAAACCATATCGATATAAAGGTGAACAGGGGTTGGACACAGTGGCTGAAAGCCCATAATTCCAGTGTTTTGGGAGGCCAAAATGGGAGGATGGCTTGAGAATAGGAGTTGGAGACCAGCCTGGGCAACATAGAAAGACCTCATCTCTACAAAAAAAAAAAAAAAAAAAAAAATTAGCCAGGTCTGTTCATGTGTGCCTGTAGTCCTAGTTGGGAGGCTGAGGTAGGAGGATTGGTCAAGCCCCGGAGTTGGAGGCTGTAGTGAGCTATGATCGTGCCACTGCACTTCAACCGGGGTGACAAAGCGAAAACCGTGTCTCTAAAAAAATTAAAAATAAATAAAGGTCAACAGGAAGAATCAATAACTAAGGCAGCAACTGGAATTGACAAATTAATATCAATAAGCTTGAATCAACTAATGAGGATGGTTTTGTGTGTGTGTGTCTGTGAGGGGGAGAGAGAGAGAGAGAGAGAAATATTGGTGAAGTAGTATTTTAATTCACCCACCAACATTCTATTGGGTGGCCAAATTCATAGAGGTATTTTATTAGAATCAGAAATTTCAGAATTTTAGAATCTATGTGTTAGCAAACTGTGTATTCATAGGTTCAAAAGAGGTTCATGACCTCTTGTTCCTCATAAATCATTCTAGGAGGAAAAAAATACTAACATAGCTGTAGCCCCTAAGTCATGAAGTGCATCTGACTGATTCACAAAATGTTAAATATAAAGGGTTACAGTTTTTCAATTAAAAATTTTTTATGATAAACATTAATGGGAAAAAACACTTATTTCAATAAAATTTATGGAATTCATTATTACTTTCAAAGAAATAACACCCTTATCTGTTAGCTCTGTCGATCCAGGGATGAAGGTTCAGCTAGAAAAATAACTTTAACCCATTATTGGACTGGTCTTTATTAAAGGCAGAGATATAACCCTAACTATCTCCCACTCTTCTGATTATGTATTTGTATTAAATACCTGATTATTTATTTAAAATTTATTTACTCAAACTATGGAAACATTATTCAATTCTTCCTTTGTTTGCAAAGAAAGATTTTCTGGTCAAAATAATAAACATTAATCCACAGAGGCAAAGCAAAAATAACAAAGATCTCTGTAGATAATATTAACTTTTATTCAAATTTCACAGTTGTTAATAAATGTATATTCAAAAGGAATGTGTGGCTGGGTGCAGTGGCTCATGCTTGTAATCCCAGCACTTTGGGAGGCCAAGGCGGGCAAATCATGAGGTCAGGAGTTCGAGACCAGCCTGGCCAACACGGTGAAACCCTGTCTCAACTAAAAATACAAAAATTAGCTGGGCATGGTGACGGGTGCCTGTAATCCCAGCTACTCAGGAGGCTGAGGCAGGACAATTGCTTGAACCCGGGAGACGGAGGTTGCAGTGAGCCGAGATCATGCCACTGCACTCCAGCCTGGGCGACAGAGCTAGACTCTGTCTCAAGAAAAAAAAAAAAGAGAGGAATGTGTGATGGATCTGGTCATTGATAAATCTATCACTAAGGTTCTATATTTATGGCATTTGATTAGCTATCCACATCACATTATGAGGATATCTACTTTCTCAAAGTATTTTGATCTTTGCTTCTAGATTAATAAAAAATGTAATAGTGGCTGAAGTATTTAAGGCACTCCCCTGGGACATGAAAAAAAATAATAAAATTTAGGTTATCTGGCACTGCCCAAATAATTGTATACAGAAAGTAAGAGAAAATTCATGTATGTTTGTGTTTATCTGCACTTACGGTAGCTGTCTTAAACTTTAGTCTTTAAATATAGAAGCCAATATGGAAGGTTAAATAGATGATTAATGCTCATCCTTTACTAGAAGTCTCTTTAAGCATATCTTATTTCCACGTTGATCATATTTATCTTTAGTAAAATTATAATTAACGTATAAGGTTTGTTTAATGGCTACAATTTCAGCTCATTTGTAATTAAAGTTTATCGCAAGTAACTTTTATAATTAAGTAACTTATAAAATCTCAGATTAAAGTAAATTATATTACTTAGTCTCAACATTTTCTTATAAAACATATTCTTCTTCTGTCTTTGCCTTATCTGTTCTTGGCACTAACTTCTTCAGTCATTCACACTTCAAAAGCTTTGGACTATTTCCTCTTCCTTATACCCACATTCCAGATTAAACTTTAGACTTTTTTATCTTGCAATCTCTTACTCTTCCAATCTTTCTTCCTACATCTTCCAGCTATTTATCAAAAACATTTAAAGAGCTACTTCTTTCATGAACCTCTTCTTAATTCCGTTACCTCAAAGTATTCACATTCTTCGGTACTATCATATCACTTTGCTCTGTCCTTTGTCACTTAGCCTATTTAGTATAATATTTATCTTCTACAAATCTTGTGTTATCTCCCCCACTACATAAACTTAACATGTGCTTTATACACAGAGGGTGCTTAAAAAGTACAGATCAACTGGATGGATGAATGGATGGAAGAGGATGGAATATCTTAACAAAACACATTTTCCTTAAGTAAATTCATGCATACTCCAAATAAAATACAGAATGTGAAGTATCTCTGAACTGTGCTGTTGAATATGGTAGCTACTAGCTACATGTGAGTATTTAAATTTTAATTTATTAAATTAAATTAAGAATTTAATTCCTCAGTCGCACTAGCCACATTTCAAGTGGTTAATAGGCACAAGCGGCTACCATATTGGACCATGCAGATTATTTTAATAAAATATTTTTATCATTGCAGAAAGTTCTATTGGATAGTACTGCTCTAGAAATTTTTGCTGGAGGAATGGATGAGAGAAACACGTCTATGGAATTCGAGGGAGATCATAATAACAAATAATAAGGCATAGGATTACCACTTCCCATATAAAAAGTATGATTCATAGCCATTTATAATACAAGCAATTACCCCTCAAAGTTGAAGATTTATATTAGTATCATTATTATCACTTTTCATTTAATCCATACTTTTTGCAACATCGATAATATAAAACTCAAAATAATTCATGTAGGTAGGAAGATGTCATATTTTCCACATAAATATGCATTAAATGCTTTAACAAGTCTGGCTTAATTAGAATAAGAATACAACAGACTAGGCTGGCTTTTCAAAAATTTTAATAGCTTATTCCCTGTTAAAGCTAAGAAATACCTTCCAGTATACCCTACCTCCCAAAGTATCAGGGATTTTTTGTTTTTTAATCCAAGAGAGATTTATGAGATCATAAAACACAATCTTTATGTTCTTTGCTTCCCTTTTCCCAAAATCTAAAATTATTCAGAAATATTTAACCTATTCTTGATTTGTAGCCATTACAGCTAATTGGAGGATCCTGCCATAAAATGATGGCCCTCTGTCATGTGTTGCCTACTTGTTTAATTTAGATTTGTGGTTTCTTGAAAGCCAACTGAAAGTGTTTTACCCCTCATAGGAAAATCCTGTTGCGAATAAGAAGGATTCCACAGATCACATACCGGAGAGGTTTTGCCTCAGCTGCTCTCAACTTTGTAATCTTGTGAAGAAGCTGACAAGCTTGGGTGAGACAATGTTTTGCTATCCTCCTTAAAGAATTAGAAATTGCCGCATAAGAGAGTATGAATTGATAACAAGAGGCATTATAGCTAAGATCAGGTTCATAACTGAAAAATTTGAAATAGATATGTAGGTAATCAAGCATTTTTAGTGATGTATATTATGTGATTGCCGTTCAAGGCAGGCATAACCATTTTCCTCAGTCAGGAAATAAATACCACTAGCCAATGGGGCTAGGATCACACCTATTCCATATAAATAAAACTTTGAATCTATCCTGTCTACTGTTTGATAAGCCTATGCAGATTATCAATTTTATGTGTTAGGTTTATAAAACTGTTATAATGATCCAAGGAATAATAGCAGTTGGTGGGGAGGGTGTTTTTATTTAAGCTTTCATTAGCAGACAAATAAGGATAGCAGAGACTTCACTCCAGTTTTAATTCAAAAAGTATTTTGTGCCTACATTTCAGAATCCTGGATGATTTGCTGCTAACAGCACTCTGAGGTCCTGCCATGGAACCTCCTATCTAGTGCAGCATTTGGGTTATTGAAGCCCTATCTTTTCAGTGCATCTATTTCATTTAAGTTTAAACTGATTACAATGTACTGGAGGCAAAGACCTTTTTCTTCCCCTCCCTCTTTTTATCCCCCACTCAACAGCTGATTGCAGAGCACTATGAGGACTGAACGACAGTGGGTTTTAATTCAGATATTTCAAGGTGAGTTTCATATATATTAAATATCATATACGTCTCCTTTCCTCTGGGTCTTTTCAGGAGTAGTAATTTTGTCTGAACTCCAATTTTTCATGTTTGAAGCTTTCATTTTCTTAAAAGATTTGTTTTGAGTTTAAAATGTTAACAGTGAGATTGGATGAGAGGAAGGGGAAGTCTATATTCCAATATACTGATATCATGTAGGGAGAGATGTAAAACAACAACAACAAAAATCCCACAAATTATAGTAAGCATAATTTACCTGGATTGGCCTGGATGGCCACACATGTTGTCCGTGGATTGACAATTTCTAAAGAATTGACAGTTTACTGACGGTAAACAATGAAGTTGTAAAGGCCCCTCTGGATCGTGCAAAGATGTCTTTAGGACCATGAGTTATCAGTGTACTGAAAAATTCCAGAAGTGCCTATTTTCAGAACAAATACTTGTTCTGAATACTACAAGCACCCTAGGTAGAGAGACTGTTCTTCCTCAGTTTTGCATTTCCAATGCGTGGTGTACAGAACATACTTTACAAATAGACACCAAACTAACAAACAAGAGAGTATTCTAATGAATAAATATATAGACTTTATTGCACTTGTAGGAATATGATTTGATTTAATAAACTAATAGGCTATCCCCCCAAATCTCCATTTAGATGAATAAAAAATGTTTAGGATTCTATTTAATTAAACCAAATTTAGAAGTAGTGTTCAGTTTCTTGCTTGGGAGGTTTTGATTTATTCAAAAATCATTTAAGTTTGTCCACTTAGTGATTAGCGTGTACTCCAGTGCACCCCCACAACTTTGTCACAATACTCCAATAATGTAATACACTTAAAAATAATATATTTAAATTATTTGTCACAAATACTCATTCTCAGTTTCTCTTGTCCATGTGGCAGAAGATACTGAAATATGTTCCCCTTGACATTGCTCAAAGAAGAAATCTCTTAAAAGTTCTAATCACTGTTAAATTTCTCAGACATTTTAAGCTTTAGAGAAGAAAAGATTTAAACAACTTTTTACATGATTCTTTTTCTTGTTCCCTTCTATTCCCTCCATTACTCCTCTGTCACTTCCATCATTCTCTCCAAGTACATAAATCCACTCTTTATGGTGCCTGGGACCTCCCAGATCCAGTAAATCTTCCCATCCTCTCCCTCTACCTTTCATTCCTTCAAGTTTTCCGTTCATTGAAGTCATTCTCAGTTCTGTTAGTTTTCCCAGATTTCTCCCTGTTCTCTTTGTGTGTCTATAATTCTTCCAAGTCTCTACCCAGTTTTTAAGTTCTCCATCTTTGTTGTCACCATAGTTTTCCCCAGTTAAGTTTTCATAACAGCTTGTTGCTCAGACTCTATGAGTACTTCTTATTTTGTTAGTTCGTCTCAATGCTCAAAATCATTCCTTACCTCTCAATCATCCCTTTTCTCTCTTTAATACCTTCATCCTTTCCAAGTTTTCTCTGCAGTCTTTTCCATATCCTCTGCTCCTACCAGTTTCCCCTTGTGCCTCGCAGTTCTTCCCAAATTATTCAAGTCCCTTGCAGGTAGTTGGAATATAACTCATCACATTATTTCCATATTTAGGAACAACTTAAATTTACAAACTGCCATGAATAAAACAGTCTGTAGCTTAATCATTGACAGTTTAATATAATCTTATTCTTTATTGCGGCATTATATATACACCACATTTTATAGACCTGTTATTTGTACCAGGTTTGGTTTTAAGAGAACTTGAGATAGTAGAGGGGAGATACAAAAAATTAACATTCAGGTAGTAAAGCCAAATTAAGCCAAGGTGAAAATTTCTTATTCAACAAGACATTCAGCCCATTCAGTTCAAAACAATATTCTGTGTACTTTTTAAGGAGTGGAAGAAAAATTGACGAGTAATGGAATATGCTAATTGAATATTGATGAGATTTGTTTCCATTTTAAAGTTAAAAAAAACAAAACTGATTGCTCTAAGACTTTTTCTTGCTGACTGCCATCACCTCAGTTGTCATATTTTAACCACAAATCCCGTAAGCACTTACATTTAACCTTATCGTTACTCTTATGCTTATTCAAATTTTCCCCATGTGATGCTAATCTGAAAATTTCTTAGAGGAAATGAGTTTTGAATTGCTCTGAAGTAGATGATGACCTTTGATGACCAGAGAAGATGTGGAAAATATTATGGCTAGAGAGTAGATGTTGGCTCGGCTGAAGAGGAGAGGTCATGGATTATAAATTAAAGAGAAAGATATTTCTTAGAAGCAGCTAATTGAGGACCTTGAATGCTAGGCCTCAGAGTTTAGATTCTATAGATTTCGAAAGGTAATAAACATAGTTTTTTTGCTTTCAGTTTTTGTTGTTGTTGTTATCGGTTTGGTTTGGTTGTTATATATAATGTTTATCAAAATAATGAATACTTATTTTTCAACACCATAAAAACGTGGAAGTAGACCACAAAAAAAGTACTGGTTGGATAGATAATATATTTGGAAATGCTTTGTTTTAAAAAAACCCTTTTCTTCTGAATAAAAATAGAGAGGAGAAGCAGTTCTTACGTGAAATCTCTCTTTAACAGTTCCTCTTGAAAATTAGCAGCTGTACTTAGTGAAAAATTATGAAGGTGCAATGTTGTTGTCAGCTGTAACAGGTTTTAATTATCTTTTTTATTTTAAAGTCATCAAATTTAGAGATGTCAAATTTTTATTATTTTCAGGACAAAATCATGATGCCATAGTTCACATATTTTAGTTGCAAATACTGTTTCAAAATGCACTTGATTTTGTGAGGTGTTTGCTTTAATATTTTCAACACAGTGCTGGATTACAGAGTTTCAAGATATATTGCACGTATCCAATTAAAATAACTCCCCACTTTCCCTAATTTATACTTGTTCTTTAAAAATTTAAATATTAATTAAAATCTTCTAATAAGTTAACATGTTCCCTGTTTTATCAAAAACATTCATTGTTCAGTTTAAGCGTTTGAAAACCAATCATAATATCTATAGATAAATGTCACTGGGATGTGTCTTTCTCAAAAATGTTATGAAGGGTTATAAAATTTTGAAAAAAAATTTTATTACCAAAATATTACCAAACATACCTTGAAAGCTGAATATAATCATTCGTCTTTTAAAATAAGCTTTTTAATCTAAATTACATGAAAAAAAATTTGTTGCCAAGCTGGGAACAATTATAAAATCACTAACTACCTAAAACAGAGCACACAGTCTTTAAACCTTATAAACATAATTTTAAATCTGAAGATTATATGAAATATTCATTTGATGAAAAGACATTTTGACTTCGCATGTGGAATTGTGATGTAAGATCTTTTAAAGCTGTAGCATTGCTCATAATTGAGATCCATTATGCAAATGATTATGTATTTATGATTAAACCTTCTTTCAATCACAGATGGCTAGAACAAGAAAAGATCTTAGAGATAAATCCCAACGCTACTCACCCTCAGTGAGTAAAATGAGGCACAGAATGACTAAATGACTTGTCCAAAGTCACAGATACCTAAAGGCATAGTTAATACTAGAATTCAAGTCCAGTTAGTTTTTCCCACAGGATTAGACTTGTCTTTGTGAGTGCAGGATATACAAATACCTTTGTTTATTATTTTTTTTTAGTTTATAATAACAATATCAACAATTACAAACACATGTAACATTAATGTTCCAGGAACTGTTCTAAGTACTTTACATATATTAACTCATTTAGTGCACAATAACACTATAAGGTAGACACAATTGTTAACCCTGTTTTACACAAAGATACAGAGAATTTAAATAACTTGCATAAAGTCACACAGCTAGTGAGTGGTGGATCTTGGATTTATTATAAAACAAGACCATCTAACTCCATAGCTCATGCTAGGACTTCTTTAAAAAATTTAAATTTTTTAATGCCAGGATAGTTTATATTTGGATATAAAAACATTTTATGACTTTACTTTTTCAGTAGGGTATAAAAACATTTTTTAGTATTGGAAATTAATGACTGTCTCAATTTCCATATCATATACATTTTGCAATAGCTTTAAATGAATGGTCTTGCTACAATGGATGTGAAGCCCTGAATGGTTTATCTGAAATCATCAATATTGTTCATTAAGACAATTGCAAAAAAATGATCTCTATGGAGTCTTTCAGTTCATTCTATGTATGAAAAAATTTTTCATTTATTTTTAAAACTAGAAAATCAAACCGAAAGTATATTTAAATAATGTCTCTATGAAATGTCTTCTGTGAGAATGGTAAAATGAGCTATCAACTAATTATTTTTTCATATACTTGGTAATGACTATGTGAACAAAATTGATTTTGCATTTTCTCATTAATGTGGCACACAACACAGAAATAAAAGTCCTATTTTTTTCTAGCTTGTTTTAGTCTGTGGGCTTAATTGCTAGTTTGAAAGTAATATTAGGTAATATCTTACTCTGTAAGAAAGCATATTTTGACATGTTGACGTGTTAATATATTGACACATGGGAAAGGAATAAGTAAATGTAAATGAAAACTAATTAAGCAACATTATATAGTGGATATGGGAAAGGTAAAAAAATATCCCAGCACTTTGGGAGGCCAAGGTGGGTGGATCACCTGAGGTCAGGAGTTTGAGACCAGCCTGGCCAACATGGTGAAGCCCCGTCTCTACCAAAAATACAAAAATTAGCTGGGCATGATGGTGGGTGCCTGTAATCCCAGCTACTTGGTAGGCTGAGGCAGGAGAATCACTTGAACCCGGGAGGCGGAGGTTGCAGTGAGCCAAGATTGCACCACTGCACTCCAGCCTGGGTAATAGAGCAAGACTCAGTCCCCACACCCCCCCAAAAAAAATCTCCAATACGCAAAATGCCTATATAAGTTTGTTTTATGTATAATTATGTAATAAATTCTGAAAATTATCATAAAATTAAAATATTAGAATATAAGATCTTCCATACATTGCCCCAATTTGTTTATTCCGTTCAAATAGAATGGAAAGACAAATTAAAATGGAGAAGGGCTGACTCATAAGAAATAGCAATGAATTCCTTTTCTTTTCATTTTTTAGGGAAGAAAGGGATTGGGAACAAGACTATATGTTGTATAGGGAACATTGAAGGATTCTATTTCCATTTCAGTGCTTAATGGCTTTTACTAGTTATTTAACTTTTTTCTCTACGTTTTTAAAACTCTCAGAGTCTGTGGCTTCATTAAATATTATTTCTTTATAAAACATATATGATAATACGAAAAGTGTTAAATCGGTGGTATTCATTAAGACTGTATCCAGCACTGTGGAGAACTTGGAGGTCAAGGGAAAGTCTGCACAAAAGTAGAAATATGAGGAAATTTGTGAACTGTGTTAGCCAATGTATATTAGTGCTCTGAGCATATATTTAAGGAAGGATGAGGCAATGTGGACTGAGGGACATTGGAGATGGATTAAGAGTGAAAGGGTAATTGGCTATGTTAGAAAACAGTGGCTTGCATTGCATGATTCTGTATCACAGGTACTTATTTATAGTGTGCATGCATTTCTGATATTGCATAAAGCAAGACAGTGATGAAGTTACATAGTTGTCTATTAGGATATTTGCCCTATACCCTTCAGTTTTCTGTTTGAGGTTTTTGAAGGATTCATGATTTCTATCATGCATCATATTCTTCATACTATCTGTATAAGGATTATGATGGTGATAAATGAGAAGAACATGGTGAGTATTCCAAACTCCTATCGACCCTACCCAATATACTAAAGATTATCAAGTGGAGAGTTATTTTGGTATATTACCACTTCATAATTTTTATGTCTCAGATACAGTACATTTATTTATATAGCATATCACATAGGTTTTATTGGGATCATATAATGTTTTATGAAATAATTCTATTTTAAGATGCTATTTACTCATAACTATAAAACTGTGCATTTTTGTTCTCTCAGAGGATCTGGAACAGTGTGATTTCTAACTTAAAATGAGGGGAGATTTGATTGTTTCTTCTTGAGTTAACAAGTTACCAATATCTTAAAAATATTCACTGCCTAATAGTTTCAAAATTTAGAATCATAAAATACTACTCATTCCTAAATGATTCAAGAATACATTTTACTGTACTATTTAATTTTATACCTTTTTTGTCCCCTGCCTATGAATTGGATATTCTAGCCATCATTTCACTGTCCTGGGTGCAGGCATAGTTGAAGGTTACTGACCTTCTGATCTAGATTAGTACTGTCCAACAGAACTTTCTGTCGTAATAGAAATATTCTAAAATCTGTGCTGTCCAGTGCTTAAGTCCTTAGCCTTATTGGACAATTGAGCACTTAAAATGTGCTTAGTACAACTAAGGGATTGAATTTTTAATCTGACTTAAATTTAATTTTAACAGCTACACACAGCAAGAGGTACTATATTGGACTGCACAGCTCTAGATGCTTATAGTCTAAATATAACTATTGTATGGAAAAGAGAGTTCTTTTTTCAAGGCATAATCAATCACCTTCGTTTCTAATTTTGTTCTTGTGCTATCTATAAATCAAGTCCTGATGCAAAGTAATTTCATCATGAAGAGCACTGGTCTTTATTTTCCAGGGTTGACAGGTTATATAAAGAATTAATGTACCCTGTGATCGCAATTTCCTAGAGTGAGTGCCAGTTTTAGCAAGTGTAAAATAGTTGTGTTTGTTGTAGCTTCTTCTATGATATCTATTAAGGAGTTGGATATCTCTGAAAAGAAAATATAAAATATTTCAGCATTTCTAATATTTTCTGGAATAGGAAAATATTTTACATTTATCAGCTATAAAGAAATCATAATTTAAAATGAAATACTGGCCATTTTCACATATTTTGTACTCTGTGACAAACTGAAATCATTACAGAGTATGTTATAATTCTAAAAACCAAAAAGTCTCCCAAGTAATAGGAGCCTCTAGTACCTAATCAAAAGAATGGTGTCTTTATTTTCTTTTTTCGTAATCTCTTTTTCTAAACCAATGTGAGATCAAATTACGTTTTTTATAAGCAGTGCAATAGCTAAATAAAAATAACAATAACCGCAAATGCATGAAGAATTTTTTTTTTTATCTGAATGTATTACTCACTTAAAACTGCATTGGTGGACTGGGCACGATGGCTCACGCCTGTAATCCCAGCACTTTGGGAGGCTGAGGCCGGTGGATCATGAGGTCAGGAGATCAAAACCATCCTGGCTAATATGGTGAAACCCCATCTCTACTAAAAAAAAAAATACAAAAAATTAGCCGGGCATGGTGGCACAAGCCTGTAGTCCCAGCTACTCGGGAGGCTGAGGCAGGAGAATCTCTTGAACCTGGGAGGTTGCAGTGAGCCAAAATCGCACCACTGCACTCCAGCCTGGGTGACAGAGCGAGACTCTATCTCAAAAAAAAAAAAAATGTATTGGTATGGAAGGCAATGAAAGTTCTATTTTGGGGCTGCCTTAATGTGAGATTAACCCTGATCACACCACTTGCATTTCAACTATTGTTTAGTATGATGGCATTTCAATTGGCAGTTTTCCTTACAGTGATCTGTCTACACATGCACGCACATAAATGCACACAAGGGCATATGTTCACAGTGAAACACAAAGATTATTATTTTAAACATACAAATAAAGCATCTCATGAATATTTCTCAATTACAAGTTGGCTAGTGTTTGTTAGTCCAGCAAGCAATACTGTATCCAACTCTGTACAGGCAGAACTTGTATATTCTTGATTTCCCATTTGATGGTTACTTAGAATTGTTTTGAGGTTAATGCACTTCTTGATTTATAAATAAAAGTGGGGTTGCATTTCATTCTTCTTCCAATATACTATTATATTACCCCTTTGAAGGCTTGTTCTTTACTTGTGGTGAGAAGGCATGGAATATGCTGAATGAAGGCTAATGATAAATCATTTTTCATTTCTTAATGAGTTGGAGTGGGGTTTGTGGTTGTCCTAAGTGAGAAACAGAAAAAAAAATTTAAAGAAGAGGAATCTAAAAATATTGTGAAAACATGTAGGATTAGTTAAATTAATTTAAATATTTTACTTACTAATAGTTTGAAAAACTGATTTCCTAAGAACCACTTAGTATAATTTGTAGTGAAAATAACTACAGGTGAAGATCATGCATAAAATATACTCTTACCAGAAAATTTTAGGTTTTTGAATAAAATGGAATTCATAAAATAATGAATACTCCAAGTTATTATAAATCACTCCGATTATTTCTTGAAGTCTTTGCTGGTTGTTGTAGTCATATATTCTTGGAGGAAAAGGTTTAAAACAAAAGAATTGGTGACCCGAATCTCCAGCAAGCATTTCTTTTTTTTTTTCCTTTCTTTTTTTTATTTTTATTTTTATTTTTATTTTTTATTATTATACTTTAAGTTTTAGGGTACATGTGCACATTGTGCAGGTTAGTTACATACGTATACATGTGCCATGCTGGTGTGCTGCACCCACTAACTCGTCATCTAGCATTAGGTATATCTCCCAATGCTATCCCTCCCCCCTCCCCCAACCCCACAACAGTCCCCAGAGTGTGATGTTCCCCTTCCTGTGTCCATGTGATCTCATTGTTCAGTTCCCACCTATGAGTGAGAATATGTGGTGTTTGGTTTTTTGTTCTTGCGATAGTTTACTGAGAATGATGATTTCCAATTTCATCCATGTCCCTACAAAGGACATGAACTCATCATATTTTATGGCTGCATAGTATTCCATGGTGTATATGTGCCACATTTTCTTAATCCAGTCTATCATTGTTGGACATTTGGGTTGGTTCCAAGTCTTTGCTATTGTGAATAATGCCACAATAAACATACGTGTGCATGTGTCTTTATAGCAGCATGATTTATAATCCTTTGGGTATATACCCAGTAATGGGATGGCTGGGTCAAATGGTATTTCTAGTTCTAGATCCCTGAGGAATCGCCACACTGACTTCCACAATGGTTGAACTAGTTTACAGTCCCACCAACAGTGTAAAAGTGTTCCTATTTCTCCACATCCTCTCCAGCACCTGTTCTTTCCTGACTTTTTAATGATTGCCATTCTAACTGGTGTGAGATGGTATCTCATTGTGGTTTTGATTTGCATTTCTCTGATGGCCAGTGATGATGAGCATTTTTTCATGTGTTTTTTGGCTGCATAAATGTCTTCTTTTGAGAAGTGTCTGTTCATGTCCTTTGCCCACTTTTTGATGGGGTTGTTTGTTTTTTTCTTGTAAATTTGTTTGAGTTCATCGTAGATTCTGGATATTAGCCCTTTGTCAGATGAGTAGGTTGCGAAAATTTTCTCCCATGTTGTAGGTTGCCTGTTCACTCTGATGGTAGTTTCTTTTGCTGTGCAGAAGCACTTTAGTTTAATTAGATCCCATTTGTCAATTTTGTCTTTTGTTGCCATTGCTTTTGGTGTTTTAGACATGAAGTCCTTGCCCATGCCTATGTCCTGAATGGTAATGCCTAGGCTTTCTTCTAGCGTTTTTATGGTTTTAGGTCTAACGTTTAAGTCTTTAATCCATCTTGAATTGATTTTTATATAAGGTGTAAGGAAGGGATCCAGTTTCAGCTTTCTACATATGGCTAGCCAGTTTTCCCAGCACCATTTATTAGATAGGGAATCCTTTCCCCATTGCTTGTTTTTCTCAAGTTTGTCAAAGATCAGATAGTCGTAGATATGCGGCGTTATTTCTGAGGGCTCTGTTCTGTTCCATTGATCTATATCTCTGTTTTGGTACCAGTACCATGCTGTTTTGGTTACTGTAGCCTTGTAGTATAGTTTGAAGTCTGGTAGTGTGATGCCTCCAGCTTTGTTCTTTTGGCTTAGGATTGACTTGGCGATGCGGGCTCTTTTTTGGTTCCATATGAACTTTATAGTAGTTTTTTCCAATTCTGTGAAGAAAGGCATTGGTAGCTTGATGGGGATGGCATTGAATCTGTAAGTTACCTTGGGCAGTATGGCCATTTTCACGATATTGATTCTTCCTACCCATGAGCATGGAATGTTCTTCCATTTGTTTGTATCCTCTTTTATTTCATTGAGCAGTGGTTTGTAGTTCTCCTTGAAGAGGTCCTTCACATCCCTTGTAAGTTGGATTCCTAGGTATTTTATTCTCTGTGAAGCAATTGTGAATGGGAGTTCACTCATCATTTGGCTCTCTATTTGTCTGTTGTTGGTGTATAAGAATGCTTGTGATTTTTGTACATTGATTTTGTATCCTGAGACTTTGCTGAAGTTGTTTATCAGCTTAAGGAGATTTTGGGCTGAGACAATGGGGTTTTCTAGATATACAATCATGTCATCTGCAAACAGGGACAATTTGACTTCCTCTTTTCCTAATTGAATACCCTTTATTTCCTTCTCCTGCCTAATTGGCCTGGCCAGAACTTCCAACACTATGTTGAATAGGAGTGGTGAGAGAGGGCATCCCTGTCTTGTGCCCGTTTTCAAAGGGAATGCTTCCAGTTTTTGCCCATTCAGTATGATATTGGCTGTGGGTTTGTCATAGATAGCTCTTATTATTTTGAAATACGTCCCATCAATACCTAATTTATTGAGAGTTTTTAGCATGAAGGGTTGTTGAATTTTGTCAAAGGCCTTTTCTGCATCTATTGAGATAATCATGTGGTTTTTGTCTTTGGCTCTGTTTATATGCTGGATTACATTTATTGATTTGAGTATATTGAACCAGCCTTGCATCCCAGGGATGAAGCCCACTTGATCATGGTGGATAAGCTTTTTGATGTGCTGCTGGATTTGTTTTGCCACTATTTTATTGAGGATTTTTGCATCAATGTTCATCAAGGATATTGGTCTAAAATTCTCTTTTTTGGTTGTGTCTCTGCCAGGCTTTGGTATCAGAATGATGCTGGCCTCATAAAATGAGCTAGGGAGGATTCTCTCTTTCTCTATTGATTGGAATAGTTTCAGAAGGAATGGTACCAGTTCCTCCTTGTACCTCTGGTAGAATTCGGCTGTGAATCCATCTGGTCCTGGACTCTTTTTGGTTGGTAAGCTATTGATTATTGCCACAATTTCAGATCCTGTTATTGGTCTATTCAGAGATTCAACTTCTTCCTGGTTTAGTCTTGGGAGAGTGTATGTGTCAAGGAATTTATCCATTTCTTCTAGATTTTCTAGTTTATTTGCGCAGAGGTGTTTATAGTATTCTCTGATGGTAGTTTGTATTCCTGTGGATCGGTGGTGATATCCCCTTTATCATTTTTTATTGCGTCTATTTGATTCTTCTCTCTTTTTTTCTTTATTAGTCTTGCTAGCAGTCTATCAATTTTGTTGATCCTTTCAAAAAACCAGCTCCTGGATTCATTAATTTTTTGAAGGGTTTTTTGTGTCTCTATTTCCTTCAGTTCTGCTCTGATTTTAGTTATTTCTTGCCTTCTGCTAGCTTTTGAATGTGTTTGCTCTTGCTTTTCTAGTTCTTTTAATTATGATACTAGGGTGTCAATTTTGGATCTTTCCTGCTTTCTCTTGTGGGCATTTAGTGCTATAAATTTCCCTCTACACACTGCTTTGAATGCATCCCAGAGATTCTGGTACGTTGTGTCTTTGTTCTCATTGGTTTCAAAGAACATCTTTATTTCTGCCTTGATTTCGTTATGTACCCAGTAGTCATTCAGGAGCAGGTTGTTCAGTTTCCATGTAGTTGAGCGGTTTTGAGTGAGTTTCTTAATCCTGAGTTCTAGTTTGATTGCACTGTGGTCTGAGAGATAGTTTGTTATAATTTCTGTTCTTTTACATTTGCTGAGGAGAGCTTTACTTCCAAGTATGTGGTCAATTTTGGAATAGGTGTGGTGTGGTGCTGAAAAAAATGTATATTCTGTTGATTTGGAGTGGAGAGTTCTGTAGATGTCTATTAGGTCCGCTTGGTGCAGAGCTGAGTTCAATTCCTGGGTATCCTTGTTGACTTTCTGTCTAGTTGATCTGTCTAATGTTGACAGTGGGGTGTTAAAGTCTCCCATTATTAATGTGTCGGAGTCTAAGTCTCTTTGTAGGTCACTCAGGACTTGCTTTATGAATCTGGGTGCTCCTGTATTGGGTGCATATATATTTAGGATAGTTAGCTCTTCTTGTTGAATTGATCCCTTTACCATTATGGAATGGCCTTCTTTGTCTCTTTTGATCTTTGTTGGTTTAAAGTCTGTTTTATCAGAGACTAGGATTGCAATCCCTGCCTTTTTTTGTTTTCCATTTGCTTGGTAGATCTTCCTCTATCCTTTTATTTTGAGCCTATGTGTGTCTCTGCACGTGGGATGGGCTTCCTGAATACAGCACACTGATGGATCTTGACTCTTTATCCAATTTGCCAGTCTGTGTCTTTTAATTGGAGCATTTAGTCCATTTACATTTAAAGTTAATAGTATTATGTGTGAATTTGATCCTGTCATTATGATGTTAGCTGGTTATTTTGCTTGTTAGTTGATGCAGTTTTTTTCTAGTCTCGATAGTCTTTACATTTTGGCATGATTTTGCAGTGGCTGGTACCGGTTGTTCCTTTCCATATTTAGCGCTTCCTTCAGCAGCTCTTTTAGGGCAGGCCTGGTGGTGACAAAATCTCTCAGCATTTGCTTGTCTGTAAAGTATTTTATTTCTCCTTCACTTATGAAGCTTAGTTTGGCTGGATATGAAATTCTGGGTTGAAAATTCTTTCCTTTAAGAATGTTGAATATTGGCCCCCACTCTCTTCTGGCTTGTAGGGTTTCTGCCGAGAGATCCGCTGTTAGTCTGATGGGCTTCCCTATGAGGGTGACCCGACCTTTCTCTCTGGCTGCCCTTAACATTTTTTCCTTCATTTCAACTTTGATGAATCTGACAATTATGTGTCTTGGAGTTGCTCTTCTCGAGGAGTATCTTTGTGGCGTTCTCTGTATTTCCTGAATTTGAATGTTGGCCTACCTTGCTAGATTGGGGAAGTTCTCCTGGATAATATCCTGCAGAGTGTTTTCCAACTTGGTTCCATTCTCCCCATCACTTTCAGGTACACCAATCAGACGTAGATTTGGTCTTTTCACATAGTCCCATATTTCTTGGAGGCTTTGCTTGTTTCTTTTTATTCTTTTTTCTCTAAACTTCCCTTCTCACTTCATTTCATTCATTTCATCTTCCATCGCTGATACCCTTTCTTCCAGTTGATCGCATCGGCTCCTGAGGCTTCTGCATTCTTCACGTATTTCTTGAGCCTTGGTTTTCAGCTCCATCAGCTCCTTTAAGCACTTCTCTGTATTGGTTATTCTAGTTATACATTCTTCTAAATTTTTTTCAAAGTTTTCAACTTCTTTGCCTTTGGTTTGAATGTCCTCCTGTAGCTCAGAGTAATTTGATCGTCTGAAGCCATCTTCTCTCAGCTCGTCAAAGTCATTCTCTGTTCAGCTTTGTTCCGTTGCTGGTGAAGAGCTGTGTTCTTTTGGAGGAGGAGAGGCGCTCTGCTTTTTAGAATTTCCAGTTTTTCTGTTCTGTTTTTTCCCCATCTTTGTGGTTTTATCTACTTTTGGTCTTTGATGATGGTGATGTACAGATGGGTTTTTGGTGTGGATGTCCTTTCTGTTTGTTAGTTTTCCTTCTAACAGACAGGACCCTCAGCTGCAGGTCTGTCGGAGTACCCTGCAGTGTGAGGTGTCAGTGTGCCCCTGCTGGGGGGTGCCTCCCAGTTAGGCTGCTCGGGGGTCAGGGGTCAGGGACCCACTTGAGGAGGCAGTCTGCGTGTTCTCAGATCTCCAACTGCATACTGGGAGAACCACTGCTCTCTTCAAAGCTGTCAGACAGGGACATTTAAGTCTGCAGAGGTTACTGCTGTCTTTTTGTTTGTCTGTGCCCTGCCCCCAGAGGTGGAGCCTACAGAGGCAAGCAGGCCTCCTTGAGCTGTGGTGGGCTCCACCCAGTTGGAGCTTCCGGGCTGCTTTGTTTACCTAAGGAAGCCTGGGCAATGGCGGGTGCCCCTCCCCCAGCCTCGCTGCCACCTTGCAGTTTGATCTCAGACTGCTGTGCTAGCAATCAGCGAGACTCCGTGGGCGTAGGACCTTCCGAGCCAGGTGCAGGATATAATCTCGTGGTGCGCCGTTTTTTAAGCCCGTCGGAAAAGCACAGTATTCGGGTGGGATTGACCCGATTTTCCAGGTGCCGTCCGTCACCCCTTTCTTTGATTAGGAAAGGGAACTCCCTGACCCCTTGCACTTTCCAAGTGAGGCAATGCCTCGCCCTGCTTCAGCTCGCGCACGGTGCGCGCACCCACTGACCTGCGCCCACTGTGTGGCACTCCCTAGTGAGATGAACCCAGTACCTCAGATGGAAATGCAGAAATCACCTGTCTTCTGCGTCGCTCAGGCTGGGAGCTGTAGACCGGAGCTGTTCCTATTCGGCCATCTTGGCTCCTCCCTCCAGCAAGCATTTCTTAAGCACTTACTGTGTATTTGGTACAGTGCCCATGAACTGCTCAGTTAAATATAATGTCTTAAAATTGTTGGTATATATTTGGAATGATTCATTTGCTTTGAGTTGAGATTCATAATATAAAATATTATGGATCTATACAGTTGTTTACATTTAAAACTGATATTTATAGAGAATAAATTTTATATCTAAATTGTTATTTTTGAAGAGCTCAATCTTTGTGTATTACGTAGGGAGTTGTCTTGAGAAACGTCTAATTTTTACCGCTCATCTTTTTGCACTTTCAAATATACTAATACTTTTGAAGCAGGACCCAACAGGCCTTCTCTAAAATTAAGTTTTCTCACATGTAGCAAGGTTATTTTGAATGCCCAAATTGAAGTTTAAATGGTTAATATTACATTTATATTTGGAGTTAAAATGTATTAAGACACAGTTGAAATAGTAACTCATTGTAAGTATGAAGAATATTGCTAAATAGAGAAAACATTTTCTTATGTATTTACCTAGATGAAAGAGAAAGGAAAAATTATACAAACACTATCATTTATACCTTATCTTTGTAAGAACATCTTGTAAATACATTTGAATTTTCTCTTATAGATGCTATTCCTTCCTGAAAACCAGGCTGAACCCAGTACATGCTTTTATAGTGAAGTAAAGAACACACAAGAAGTAGGGTTTATTTTAACTTATAAATGCAAATTCCATTTTACTTATTTTTTAATGGGAAAAATATTTACTTTATTTCTTTAACTTTTATTTTAGGTTCAGGTATGCATGTGCGGGTTTGTTATATAGGTAAACTCATGCCACAGGAGTTTGCTATACAAATTATTTCATCACCCAGGTACTAAGACTAGTATGCAATTTTTTTTTTCTGCTCTTCTCCCTCCTCCCACGCTCCATGCTCAATTAGTCCCTAGAGTCTGTTGTTCCTTTTTTTGTGTCTATCAGTTCTCATCATTTACATCCCACTTAAAAATGAGAACATTCAATATTTGGTTTTCTGTTCCTGCATTAGTTTGCTGAGGATAATGGCCTCCAGTTCCATCCATGGTCTTGCAAAGGACATGATCTCCTTAGTTTTTATTGCTGCATAGTATTCCATGATGTATATGTACCACATTTTCTTTATTCAGTCTGTTATTGATGGACATTTAGGTTGATTCTATGTATTTACTATTGTGAATAGTGCTGCAGTGAACATTTGTGTGCATGTGTCTTTATGGTAAAATGATTTATATTCCTCTGGGTAGTTACCCAGTAATGGGATTACTGGTCAAATGGTAGTTCTAGTTTTACCTCTTTGAGGAATCACTATGCTGCTTCCCACTATAGTTGAACTAATTTACACTCCCACCAACATTGTAAAAGTATTCTCTTTTGTCTGCAACCTCGCCAGCATATGTTATTTTTGACTTGTTAATAGTAGCCATTCTGACTAGTGTGAGATGATATCTCATTGAGATTTTGATTTGCATTTCTCTAATGATCAGTGATATTGAGCTTTTTTTCATATGCTTGCTGGCCACATGTAAGTCTTCTTTTGAAAAGTGTCTCCTCATGTCCTTTGCCTACTTGTTCATGGGGTTGTTTTTTTCTTGTAAACTTAAGTTCCTTATAAATGCTGGATATTAGACCTTTGTCAGATGCATAGTTAGCAAATATTTTCTCCCATTCTGTAGACTGTCTGTTTACTCTGTTGATGGTTTGTTTTGCTCTGCAGAAGCTCTTAAATTTAATTAGATCCCATTTGTCAATTTTGCTTTTGTTGTGATTGTTTTTGGCATGTTCATCATGAAATCTTTGCCACTTCCTTTGTCCAGGATGGAATTCCCTAGGTTGTCTTCCAAGGTTTTATAGTTTTGGGTTTTATGGATATTTAATTCATTTTGAGTTGACTTTTGTACATGGTGTAAGAAAGGGGTCCAGTTTCAATTGTCTGCACATGGCTACCCAGATGTCCCAGCCCGATTTGTTGTGTAAGGAGTCTTTTCCCTATTGCTTGTTTTCTTCAGCTTTGTGGATGATCACGTGGTTATAGGTGTGTGGCCTTATATCTGGGCTCTCTATTCTGTTCTATTCGTCTATGTGTCTGTTTCTGCACCAGTACCGTTACTGTAGCCCTGTAGTATAGTTTGAAGTCAGGTAATGTGATGCCTCATGTTTCGTTCTTTTTGCTTAGGATTGCCTTGACTATTTGGGGTCTTTTTTTGTTCCATATGAATTTTAACATAGTTTTTTTCTACTTCTGTGAAGAGTGTCATTGGTAGTTTCATATGAATAACAATCTGTAAATTGTTTTGGGTAGTATCCCATTTTAATGGTATTTATTCTTTCTATCCATGAAGTAGTGTTTGATTATACTTATTAATGCAAATTCCATTTTAAAAGGCAGAATTCTTTTTTTTTTTTTTTTTGAGATGGAGTCTCGCTCTGTCACCCAGGCTGGAGTGCAGTGGAGCGATCTCAGCTCACTGCAAGCTCCGCCTCCCGGGTTCACGCCATTCTCCTGCCTCAGCCTCCCGCATAGCTGGGACTACAGGCGCCCGCCACCACGCCCGGCTAATTTTTTGTATTTTTTAGTAGAGACGGGGTTTCACCATGTTAGCCAGAATGGTCTCGATCTCCTGACCTCGTGATCCGCCCGCTTCGGCCAAAAGGCAGAATTCTTTATCATTTTTTCTACTCTAAGTGTATCACAACTGAAGATTCGAAATATGGCTTGTGGGTGTCACATTTATGGTTCAGTTGTTTTTCTATTCATTTATTAATTAATGTTGTCATTTTTAATTGGTTATCCATTTTTTTGGTTTTGAGGTGACACAAAACAAAAATCACAGAAATAATATTAAAATATGTGTAAAAAACTGAGAACTAAAAGGAGAAGGAATATTGTTGAACCTTTAGGCTGAGGCATCTGTTATTAGGCAGTTGATAAACCAAGTCGTAAGATTGGTTTTAAAAGGTTGCTATGTCATTTTTGCTTAGCGTTCTAAGATGTGTAGTTACTGATTATGGATTGTGCAACTCCAAAGTCGTCTTAATAGGAAGAGCTTCATTGTCTCACGGGGTGAATGAATGCAACTATTAAAGTCATTTCTCTGTTCCTTGGAACAATAAGTTGATGGATATAATTCATTTTCTGACGACTAATATCTTACCTTGATTTGTTTTACAGACCATCAACTTGGATCTTGTTTTTAGCCATCACTTCCAAGATTCTAGTGCTATATCTCATTTGCTTTCAACTGTTGATTTTACTGCATTGTAATTTGATAATTTAGACCCCAACACAAAAAATAAATTAAGTCATGCTAGAATATGCACCATACGTATATAGGGGAGTAATCTGATAAAGTGCTTTGTGCAGATATTGCAATTAGTACTGAAGTTTGGGGAGGTGTGCAATCAATAGTAAAATATTAATTGGTCTTTCTACATAGATAATTTAAACACTAATATGATAGATATATTACTACCTGTTTTCCTGTACTGTTTTATTAATTCATGGAATAGTGACTAATAGAAGTATTATTTAGCCTTATATATAAAACTCATAGATATAATACTGTTTTGTGTACTGTTTTATTAATTCATGGAATAGTGACTAATGGAAGTACTACTTATCCTTATATATAAAACTCAAAATAGGCTTTTCAACAAATACCCAGTGAAGACACAAATATATATATTACACACACACACACACACACACACACACACCCACAATTATATATATATGAAGAAACCACATTTGTTAACAAATGACTAAAATTGTCATGCCTGAACCCTCCATTATTGAACATCACCTCTCCATACCCCTTGATCTCTTTAATTTTGTGATGCTATACCACCTCCATAATTTCACCCACGAATAATAGATTCCAAGCCCATCACTTTCTGTTTCTTTCTCTTTTCTTTTGCAAACACTTTTCCTTTACACGAGGGACCTTTGGTTACCTTCTTAAAATGTGATCATCTAGAGAATTTACAGAATGTGAAATTAATGCCTATTTGATAAAAAATATTTAATATATAAAGCAATGCCTACAGATATGTATATATATCACATAGTTGTTATACAGATTAAATGAAATAACTGATTTGAAATCACATAGAGCAATTCAAATACTACACCAAGTGGAAATTATCCTTTGAACTTTGATGAATTTAGGACTTATTTATTATGATAATCTGGTACTTGTTGACAAAGTACAGTAAAATAATTATTAGATACTGAAACAAGCAATATTACATTCACCCTGAGGCAATAGAAGAATGTGTGATGATAGACAAACGTTATATTTTTGCCATGAAGAATGAGTCTCTTGCTTGATTATTCTGTAAAGCCATGTTTCAAATGTTCCCTAAATCATATATCAAAAATCCAGAAAAATTAATATAGAAGAGCAACCTTTAGAATTTGTCTTATTAAGTGCTATTTGAGCTTGATTATTATCAGATTTTGAAACCCTGTTAGAGAACACCACACTAACTGTTGTTGGAATGCTAGAATGAATCAGCAAACAATAAACAATTTGGAGAAGGAAGCAGCATTGATGGAATCCACTTCTCAGAGAAGTTTAGACCCAAATGTGAAAAATTAGACATGTACAATAAGCACAGTAAGCAAGCTGTTTGTGGAATAAAATTTAACAAACCAGTCTTATAATTACTGTGCCTTATTAAATTTTTTATTTTGACATCTCAAGTTTCAGAATACACAGGAAATAATTACATAAAATTGGACAGCCAATGCCCTTGCCCGCCTCTGCTTGCTGTGGTCAGTTCCTCTGAAAATACTAGGTTTATCGGTTGCTCCAATTTGTCTTTCTCCCAATGTGGTTACTTTTATTGCAATGTTCTAGATTCCTGTCAACCTCAAGAACTACCTTATTGTTTACCCAGGCTGTGAAAGAAGCTTTGCTTGTATTTGAGACCAAGAACACAACAGTAGTGACCACCTAATATATTATGGCTGTTAAATGGTGTATTTTTGACTTAATGAATCATTGAAATAATTGGAATGATGAGATTTAAGTGGAGTTAGGATAATGGGCAGCAGATAGATATTTCTTATCTTCATGTAATACTTAAATTTGTACTATTGTAGAAATTGTACAAAAATTGTAGCATATAAACCATTCACTCATGTGTTTGTTGTTCTAGCATATGATTCAGTAATTCACATAGAATTCATTTAAATATATTACAAATGAAACCAGCACTATAATGAAGAAAAAATTTAAAAAATATCAAGGAAATTATGCCTTGAAATTCTTCTGACAAAGCATTTGAACATTAATTGTGTGGTTTGAAATTTCTAGAATTGCATATAGTAGATGCCTAGCTCCCTTACCTACTCAGAGATGATAAAATGAACTTCCATTTTTGCTTTATACATCTTTAAATTTTCAGAGATGCTTATTTTATTTCTGCTTTTGCTTTCTCTAATTGTCATTATTGTGTCCCTCTAAATACAACTATTGCTTACCCAACTGTGATGTCTTGCTGATAAAGGGCATCACTTAAATAGCATGGGCACTACTGGAACTTGTCAAAAATTTTAGTTCTTTATATCTTCTTTTGTGTTGTTTCCTTTATCAATTTCCAAACTAACATTAATCTATAGTAGGAGTGGGTTGTAGGAGAAGGGCAAAGAAATTTAAGGTTACCTTGTCACATTTTTCATGAGACAGAAAAATTAGAATGTAATTTACATACATTAAGATACGTATGTAGGCATATTTTCCCTGGATATCTGAGTTAAATGTGCCATGCTTCCATAAGACTAAGCAGTGATTATTTATATCCGTATTTAGTAGCTAAATTTCTGTACTGTTCATTCAAAGAATTAAACTCAGCATTTTCAAAGAAAACTTAATAAATTTTAAAGATAATAAATTTTCAAGTGGCAAATGTGAGAGTTGAAATCAAAATCTGGAGATTGAGGTTACTTAAACATGCATGTTCACATCCTGGTAGAAGCAGAGATGAGTTCATTATACAGTAATTGAACACTGAATTAAAGACATACTAGAATATATTATCAAATATAAACTCTGTTTTGTTCACTGATGTACCTTCAGTGTCTAGAACTGTGCTTGACATATAAAAATTGCTTAATAAGTATTTGTTGAATAAGTGGCTAAACCTCCATGAGTTCATTTCATCTCAAACTCTTTATTAACTAGAGGGTGAATATTCCTTCTAGGTTGGCAACATATATATTCACTTAAGCTTTAGAAATGGTATTTTTTCTCAATATTTCTTCCCCGTTTTTAAAACCACTGAATGAATTTCCAGTTATGAAACACATTTTAAAATGTTTTATATGATGATGGTATTGTGGAAGACAGTGTGGCAATTCCTCAAGGATCTAGAACTAGAAATACCATTTGACCCAGCCATCCCATTACTGGGTATATACCCAAAGGATTATAAATCATGCTGCTATAAAGACACACGCACATGTATGTTTATTGTGGCACTATTCACAATAGCAAAGACTTGGAACCAACCCAAATGTCCATCAATGATAGACTGGATTAAGAAAATGTGGCACATATACACCATGGAATACTATGCAGCCATAAAAAAGGATGAGTTCATGTCCTTTTTAAGGACAAGGATGAAGCTGGAAACCATCATTCTCAGCAAACTATTGCAAGGACAGAAAACCAAACACCACATATTCTCACTCATAGGTGGGAATTGAACAATGAGAACACTTGGACACAGGGTGGGGAACATCACACATCGGGGCCTGTTGTGGGGTGGGGGGAGGGGGGAAGGGTAGCATTAGGAGATATACCTAATGTTAAATGACGAGTTAATGGGTGCAGCACACCAACATGGCACATGTATACATATGTAACAAACCTGCATGTTGTGCACATGTACCCTAGAACTTAAAGTATAATTAAAAAAATTAAAAATAAAGATAGAGTAGAACAGATTTAGAATGGATTGAGGGAGGGTGACTTCTTGGAACTAGATCGCTCTATTAATTATGTTGTGTAGAGATATTGCGACATGCATGCAATGCTTTTATTTCTTTAGTTTGCTTTATTTTGTTTTTCATTTTGGGGGGTTATCCCAGGAATTCAAGGTTGTTTTATCTTATTTTTTTTTAATTTAACTTTTATTCTGAGTTCAGGGGTACAAGTGTAGGTTTATGTAAGTAAACCTGTGTCATGGGGGTTTGTTGTACAGATTATTTCGTCACCCAGGTATTAAGCCTAGTACCCATTAATTTTTCCTGATCCTCTCCCTCCTCCCATCTTCCAACCTCCAATAGGCCCCAGTGTGTGTTGTTCCCCTGTATATGTCCATGAGTTCTCATCATTTAGCTCCCACTTATAAGTCAGAATATCCTGCAATGTTTTTAAAAACAGTCTGTAGTATTCTTCTGCCAGTTGTAATAATGTGTAATACCTAAGGGTAAGATAAGAATAGAGCGATAATTTTAATTCCAATTGTCACTGCCCCATTTTTATTTCTGCTTATGTTTGCATGACATTTATAAAATCACATAAACATCCAAAACTTCTTAGATATGCTAGATTCACAGCATATAGAATACATATATGTGTGCATATTAGCTGGTAGTATCAATGGGGTATTTTTAATCTCACCTTCATAACAGAGTATAAAACCAAAAATTCACAAGACTGAATTTTGAGCGAGTTTTTATATTATGTAATCCCAATGCACATCATTGTACAAATGATGCTAAAAATACTATACCACAGGCAACAGTGTTTTTGTGTTGTTTACTAGGATAAATAATGTCTTCAGCTCTAGCATTACTCACTATCATAACTAACATATTTTATGTATGATACCAACTGCTTAACATAGGAAAGTCATTGAATTCATAGTATATATTTTTAAAATGTTGTGATAAAAATTAATGAGATATTTTAAGTCTACTCCTGACCTAAACTATCTTGATTGTTGCAACAGATGCATTTATTTGATTATTGATTGTAAATAGGAAGATTTCTTTTTTTCCAATTTTGTGTATTCCAACATTGGCATATGCATAGTTTAAAAAATGCGGATGTGCAGCTATGCAATGGGACAGTTATTTCATATAACACATTGCTTGGCATAACCAGAGCACAATATCCATAACAAGTTATTTATATCATATGTAGTCCTCCTGTTTTTAGAACAATTACTAAAACTTGTTGATGTTATCGATTACCAATAAATATTGAGAAATTCCTTAACTGGATACCTATATGCATTAATACATTTCTGGAATGGAATTTTAAATAACCATCTGACCACTGAGTTTTCAAAACTGCTAAATACCTTAATAGTTGCATTAACCTTCATTTAATTATAAAAGTATGACATCTGATAGGCTTTAGCTCAGTGTGATACAAATTTAATTTTGTTTATATAATATATCATCTACAAATACTATCCAGAAGAAGCACATTAGAATGTTTAATTATACTAGAGATTAAAAGATATTTAATATATAAACTTGAGAATAAATAAAATAGAGAATAAGAATTGAGAATTACGAAAGGAAACTGAAGATAAAATTTGCAGATTTTAAGAAAATCAAAATTCCTCATTGAATTTTGTCAGAAGAGTTCAAGAACTGAAATAATTTTAAAGCTTTCAGTGAGTGAAAAATAATAGGGAGAAGTAGCAAGAGAGATTGATTTTTGACTCACTTTCAACTCGGTACTGTTTTTAAATGCCTTTCTTATTTTCAAGCCCTTCTCAAGCTGTTCCTTGAAGTTGTATAATTCCTGTTAGTCTATAGATGTGAAAACCCATTTTTATATGAACTACCTTCTGCGTTCTATAAACATAAATTCTCAGGGTTGGGATGTCTTCTAGTCTAACTCTCCCATTGAATGTTTGGACGTCATCTACCAAATCCATATATCTAAAGCAAATATAGTAGATCTAATCTGGTGGTCCAGTACCTCCAAAGATATGGAATACACTCCTGAAATATCCTGAAAACTTTTTTTTTTCAGAATCCTTTAATAAGCAGTTATGTCAATCTGAAAGTTGCTTACTTGTACTTTATATTAATAGCTATTCTTGTTTTTCTTATCCAAAGAAAAATCCTCTAATCCCCTTTTCACATGATAGTTGTTACCATGTTTAGGCATTAGTCACATCAACCCCTCTCCTCTCCCAAACTTCTCTTCTTCAAATCAAACTTTATTAGTCCCTCCTTTATAATGATTCCTTGCCTCGTTTTATCCAGATCAATTTTTTTTCACTTTGATGCCCAGAGCTGAAGAAATGGACTACTGTATAAATTATTCATTGCCAAGAGAATAATTGCATTTTAAACCCATATTATAACAAAGAATAATGATTATATTTTGTGATTTGTAACAAATACCCTTTATTTTCCCTTAACTATTGAATTAAATATTTTAATTATTTGTATTCTCTTTAACTATCTTGGTATATTAAAGTATTATCTTTTATATATTTATCAATGGTGGACACTTTTATAGGTACTCTGTGTCATTTTTGATACTGTAGGTATCTTATTTCATTTATCTTTATTCTTAATGTACGAATTCATAATATTTGATTCAGAACAAATTTATCACTAATTAACAGAGTGTCAATTATGCTAACATCTCATTTACTGATTTTAATTTAAAACAGTTTTTGTTAACATGCATGTTTAGGGTTGGCTTCTTAATAATTTCTTCTTCCTCTTCTCTCTCTCCTCTTCTTTTGGTCAGTGTTGTGCGGGTTAATACAACAAACTGTAACAAGTGTACCTGGTATGGACTTGTTGTCCGGGACGTACATTTTCGCGGTCCTGCTAGCATGCGTGGTGTTCCACTCTGGCGCCCAGGAGAAAAACTACACCATCCGAGAAGAAATGCCAGAAAACGTCCTGATAGGCGACTTGTTGAAAGACCTTAACTTGTCGCTGATTCCAAACAAGTCCTTGACAACTGCTATGCAGTTCAAGCTAGTGTACAAGACCGGAGATGTGCCACTGATTCGAATTGAAGAGGATACTGGTGAGATCTTCACTACTGGCGCTCGCATTGATCGTGAGAAATTATGTGCTGGTATCCCAAGGGATGAGCATTGCTTTTATGAAGTGGAGGTTGCCATTTTGCCGGATGAAATATTTAGACTGGTTAAGATACGTTTTCTGATAGAAGATATAAATGATAATGCACCATTGTTCCCAGCAACAGTTATCAACATATCAATTCCAGAGAACTCGGCTATAAACTCTAAATATACTCTCCCAGCGGCTGTTGATCCTGACGTAGGAATAAACGGAGTTCAAAACTACGAACTAATTAAGGTGCGTTTTAAAATCACTTTGTTAAAGATATCATCTCATTTTTTAAAGAGTAAAATAAAATGATATTAATGTATTTCAAATTTTGAGTAAGCCATCACCCCAATTTTTCAAAATTTATGTAATTTAAAGCATAGTGGAGAAAATTCATCAATGCAGTTTTTGCAATTACAGGTGGATTATGAATTTTCATGGTATGTATATTCATTTTCAAACAGCTGTGTTTCCATTAATCTATAAAGGGATCAGACAAGGTCAGCCCTGCTACTTACAAATCAGTAGTTTGCCCAGCTTCATTCTTTTAATCTGTCCAGTCATGCTTCTGCCAAAAACTTGATATAAGCAAATCATTAAGAATGAATCCATAAATCTGATTATCAATTTTTCCTAGTGATTACTTTAGATACACAAATTTTATCTTGCCATTTGATATGGTGCCAAATAAATCTATTTGAGAGGTGACTAGAACAATTTAATTTATTACTAGCATTTCTGAACATATATAGATAAATATTTTTCATGAGGATTTCAAGGTAAGGCAAGGTCTTTAGCATATCCTGTATCATCAAATTGAGATTAAATTTTAGTCAATATTCTGTTAATGTTAAATATTTTCATTTTTTTACAATTATTTGAAAACAGAGTGTTCATTTGTTGTAAAGGGTAAGTAAGCCTTTTAACAAAAAAGAGTCAATCAGTTAATTTGAATAACCTACTCTGGCTTGATTTGGGTCTTAGGATGGAGAAGTTAGAGAGAAGAATAGATAGAATATTTGGTATTCTTCAAAATATGTGCAGAGGGGCCACATTTATCAAGTTAATGATCAATTCTTTTAAATTACTTATATGATATAAAGAGAAATAGATAACTCAGATTTGGGTATGTGAAATAGTACAATGCACTTGAATGATCTTGGAAAATATATGTTAATGAAATAACTAATGTGCATGTTTCAGATAGATATGTTCAGGGGATTTTCACACTTTTATAAATATTCTGCCAAACTATGATCTATATAATAACTAGTGTTAAAAATATGCCCCAAAACATATAAATAAGACATTCTGATATATATCATCTGAAGGTTTTGACCTGGAGGATATATAATATGGGAAAATTTCTCAACTAATGCTGATCTATTGTAAAGATATATTTATTTATAAATTCATTCAGGAATGGAAGGCTACAAACCTCTTGAGCAAATTTCAGTGAAATGCAGATATGTTTGAGTATATGAAGTGAAAACAGAAAGAGAAGGATTTGGAAAGAAGGGAACTCTTGAATACTGTTGGTGGGAATGTAAATTAGTACAACCACTAAGGAGAACAGTTTCGAGGTTCCTCAAAAAAACTAAAATTTAGATGATTTTTAAGTGAGCACTTTGGGGTGAAGTTCCTGCAATGACATCTCCTTATCTGATGAAATGGAAAAATATTCAGGAGTCAGATAGATATGGATCACAGTTTTATGCTTACCTCTTACCAGACATGCTACTTTCAGCTTAATCTTTTTGACCTTTAATTTCTTCAGTCATAATATGAGGATGATAATTATCACAGGGGCAGAATTGGGAAGAATAAGCACTTAGTATGGAGTAGACATACCTGCATAGAAGATTTTTGAACATGCTTTAAGACATTTAAGTACTTATAGAAGTGTGAGGCTTATCACTTGACATAATAAATTGAGTAACAGAGTGGACAGTCTCTCTCTAAAGCAACACTTCACAACAGAATTTTCTGCAAGGACGGTAATCTGTGTGAGAACAATGCAGTAGCCACCAGTCACACGTAGCTGTAGAGTCCTTGAAAGTACTTAGTAGCTAGTGCTACTAAGGAACTAAATGCTTAATTAATTCCATTTTAATTTTAATAGCCACATGTGGTTAGTGGCTATCATACTGCACAGCACAGCCTAAACAAATAAAAAACGTTTATTTGGACAATACAAATTAATAGATAAAATCAAAATGAGACCTTACCAAGTTTAAATCAGATATTAGCAATAGGGTCTCTTCAACTGACCATCTTGACAAATGTGTTGTTTTAAAACGTAGTGCTTTATTCAAAGAATAATTTTGTCGTGTCTCCCTTAGGGCAGCTTAATGAACTTCCAAGAAATTTCTGATTTGTCTTGAAAGCTGCTTAACTAATTCAAATAAAACAAATAAGCCTGCTGGCATAATTTTAGCTTTGTTAAAATGTGCTTTCATTTGACATTCTTTGAAAGATTGTCAGCAAATGACAAAAAGTCTCACTACAGGTTCTTAGATGAGTCTTAGAAATGCTCTAAAATTTCTTTCTGTTTTAGAATGTGTGATAAGCCTAAAGTAACTATATGATGTGCCTAAAGTACTGGGGCATTTGTGTGGCCCCGTGGACAAATACTGTTTTGACTGCTTGTTAAAAATAATGAGAATGGAACACAAAGCATAGCCCCAGGCATGCAGAGGGCCATGACATGGGCGACTTTAACTGAATGCACTTTGACTCGCAAAAAGGCCCTGTCATGAAAGTGGCATATATGCTATGGGAAAGGAGACTTAAAGAAAAACAGAGAAAAGAAGCATGTGTTGATTCATCCATAAACTTTAGTAAATTTTACAATGTGAAATAAGTAGGCCAACCATAATAATTTCTTTTAAAAATCCCTTTGTCCTGCAGAATAGGATGAGAATTTAATTAATATTAATTTGCTCTACTTTTGTTGAATAGACAAGAATAGAAAAATCACCATTTATCCTAACTAGGCTAATATAAAATGTATATGAATAGTTCAAATAGCAAAGGGAGAGAAGGGAGAAATATAGAGAAAAATTCTAGGAAAAAAGCTCAATTTAAATATTTAAATAGGTCAATTTATACATGAAGGTGTCCTACTATTTACTATTTGATATTAATTAACTGAAATTAAAGGCATTGGTGGAAAATATTTATTAAATGTTTAAAATGTATGTAGTATAAAATTTCATAAGACTTAAAACTTAGAATATTTATTTCTAAAACTAATATATACATATATTAATTTAGCTTACGTTTTTATGAGTTTCAGTATACCTTGGCACAAACAGGGAAAGTATTATTTCACATTTTAAATATTTGGAAAATGAGTTTCAGAGTGATAATGTATTATGCTTATCATCATATGACTGGTAAATGATAGAGGTAGGAACCAGAGTGCAGTTCCTGACTCCTAATCAACAGACAGATTGTAGATGGATAGATAACCTTCAGAGCAGGATCACTGCAAGTTCATGATACAAAACGAAAAGAGTGAAAGAAAGAAAAAAGACTGGGCACAGTAGCTCACACCTGTAATCCCAGCACTTTGGGAGGCTGAGGCGGGTGGATTACTTGAGGTTAGGAGTTCGAGACCAGCCTGGCCAACACAGTGAAACCCCGTCTCTACTAAAAAAATACAAAAAAAAAAAAAAAAATTAGCCAAGCATGGTGGCGGGAGGCTGAGGCAGGAGAATCACTTGAATTCGGGAGGCAGAGGTTGCAGTGAATCGAGATTGCGCCATTGCAATCCAGCCCAGGTAACAGTGAAAGACTGTCTCCAAAAAAAATAAATAAATAAAATTAAAAAAATTAAAAAGGGAAAAAGTGGGGGAATGAAGTGATTACCAAGTAATTCTGCTTGTTTAAAAAATAAGTAAAAATAAAACTTATTTATGTGACTTTGATGCGATTAATTTTCAACTTTTTAATGGATCATGTTACTCTTTAAAGAAAAAAAATCATCTATAAGAGTTCTTGATGTTATTAATAGTTACCACTTAAAAAAGAATCCAGATTTGAAAGCTTCTCTTTTCTCTCTTTCAAGTAAAATCATACTGCAATGCTAATTCCCTATATACATATAGCTATTTACATACTCACACACATCGTACTACACATTGCAGTATTTCGAAGAACTGTTGTTCAGGAGTAGGAAATCACAGATCTCTTTAACTTTCACTTTTTAATTCAGATGGCCTGTTATTTATAAAGCTTTTTAAAATATTGTAAGTATTTTTTGACAGGGAAGCCAACATTTTCACAAATAGAAACATCCCTCAAGCACCCAGTCTGACTCAGAATATGTATATAAACCACAGGGACTTCCTTCTTTTCTCATGGTAGGAACTCAGGGGAAATTAGTTTATATAATGATGTTACAGTTATTTTTATTTTCTGCTTCAAATTTCCATCTTCCCTGGCATATATCAACAGTCACATTTCTGTACTAGCCCAGTGACAGTGTGCTGATTGATTTCCTTAAGGCAGGCATGACAGTGTTTCAAAGGTTGACAATTTTTGTTGACAGAACATGAAGATCAACTTTTTCTCAGGTTAGTGATCCTACTCAAGGCCTTCCCTTGTTTCTACCCATCCCATAAGGCATCCTCATCTTTTCCATGAATCTCAAAAGATCATTTAAACTGGGGTAGTCTTTTAACATAGTCAAGATGTTTGGGCCCTTGTTTCTATTTTAAGTAAACATCTTCCCCATTGATCAAGAGCTGGACTGGATTTATGAAACTAAGGTTAGAATTAGATTTGTTTTGCGATCTGGGGTTAGAAAATCTAAATTGTGAAAAATCTCACCTACCACAAGATTTAGAAATCTTGATTTAAATTGCCAAGAATGAGACATCAAATAATACATTGTGAAGACAAAGAGCAAGCAAACTTTGTTGTTCTGAAGAAATTAATATTTTTTAACATTATGTAACCATAACTCAAAGTGATGTGTAACATTAGAAGTGAGTAAAGATTCATTGATGTCAGTGCAGAGAGAATATACTATAACAATGAGTATAACAATTTTAGAAAACTTACTTAGTTTATTTGCCTCCAAGAGGCTCAGAAGAGTTTGAATATAATGATTTCCTCATTTTTTCAAATATAAAATGAAGTTTCACTTAAAATTTCTCCATTTCAGCTTTAAGATTACTTGATTTTATAGTCTCTGAATTCTATAATTTGCATATTAATATTTTTGATCTAATGTTAAAAAGCAAAAGAGATGACAATCAAATGCTAACGACTATGAGGTTTCTGAAAGCTGGGGTTATTATCAAAGTACACTTCCACTGGGGAAAAAATGACAACATAAAACTCATTGTCTTCATAAATGAATCTTTATTAATGCTGTCAGGTCTTAACAAATGAGAGTGTGACACTAATAGGATTAAGTAACTTTTGACTTCATTACTATTATCAGAGTCTTGGTTAGTGTTCATCGTCCACTAATGCCTTTTGTTAAATACATCTGTTATTAAAAATCCCACAGTATGGATGGACACTTATGGAACGTAAGTTGGACATCGTAAATAGTTCAATTCTGGAATTTATAAATTGAGGCTCTGAAGAACAAATGTGTTCCCAAATCTGAGTGATCTACTCACATCATGCCTCTTAACTTAATATTACCAACTAACTATAAGAAGCACCACTAAATTTTATGTTATTAGATACAGATGTATTGATCTGTTATTTCATTGTCCACTGTATCTAAATAAAAATAAATTTGAACTTAATATTATTCTTGCCAAAGGAAATGACTTAAATCCTAAAATAAAAACATATTTTTATAAGACAAAATTAATTGGTATAGAATTATTTAATGAAAACATGAGGTTGTATTACACAGATCTAATTGTCTTTAACAATTTTGATCAATGCTAATAATCTAAGATTATAAATATCCCAATGTGGGTAGTTTTCTTGGCATAAATTATTCTTTTTGTCTACACTGATTTATATTGATTATATAACAACACTGCTGTGGAGACACTCTCTTAGTGAACTGAAGTGTGATCTTTCAATCTTAGATAAAATAAATTGATGGATTGGTAAGATTTCTGTATCAGAGGTGATGACACCTTGTATGAGAAGTGATGATAAAAGCAATAAGGTCATTCTGCAGAAAACTTTCTGAGTTTGTTTGAGTTTTATCTATAAAATAATGTATCTATCTTCATGATTTTACCAGGGTATGAGTTTGGACCAGTTTTTGATGGAATTGGTCTTTAGCAAAAACTATAAAGTGCAGATGAAAACTAATTCTCACTTAAAAATCAAATACTGAAGAAATTAATATTCTCCCTTTTGTATTTATCAGTGTACAGTCATCTTCACAAAACTAATCAAGAATGAATAATTAAATAATCTAGTAGCCTAATAGACCAAATAAATTGCTTTGACCACAAATTAAATTTTAGCAGATTGTTGTTCAAGTGTCTTTCAATTTCCCAGTGCAGGTAGATGTCACTGGAGGAAGGAAAATATTGAGTCTAATTTAATTAAATAACGCAGAACTTAATTTTCTTAATTATTTTTGAAATGTCCTTTTTTCATTGGTCTTTTGCTTGCACAAATTATATCTTCACCAATCTATTCTACAAATAGGTAATAAAGTGTTTTATCCATAAAATGTTAAATATCTATTACTAGAGCACTAAGGGCATCAAAATAGAATACATGTGGACACACACTTTTTAGCAATTAAAACTATAAAAATATCGCTAGTTATCTATTTTGTATTTCCTTTGAAATAGAAGAGGTACTTCTAGGTGAACAATCATAAGAAACCTATTGCTTATTCTTTATACATTGGAAGAGTATTTAGTGGTAGCATGTTTTAATTGCTGCATGCACATATCTCTATACTTGCTGGTAAACTGAGGAAAGTAGTATAACGTCATATATAGGAAACATATTTTAAAAGACATATTTTGCAAAGTAAGTGTGAATTTTGTTTCATTAAGCAAAACAAAGGATTTTAAAAGTTGAAAATCATAAAATGAAGTTTTGGATTTTCTAACCTAATTTACATTTGTCTTTGCGATCTCACTTAATCTGGAATTTTATTTTATGTAGAGTATTATCATGAATATTTCTCATCCTTTTACTTATTTTATATATAGAATTTCATTATTTTAAGCTTCTTCAATACAATGAAGTGAAATTCTAAAGAATGAAAGGCTGTTCTATTAAATTTTGTCTAGATGTAACAACTGACTGCTAACTAATATCTTAGTCTAATTCCAGTAATCTAAATTTAACACATATTTAATGAGTGCTCAATGTACAAAGTCTTGAGGGATAAAAAATGTGTTTGGAAAACAGTCAGTGTCCCCAAGGAGATTAATAACAGGCATTATCAGGATTATATTTTTGCTCTAATGATAGTAAAGAGGAAAGAATATTTATTTTATATATACATACATACTTATGTGTGTGTGTGTGTGTGTGTGTGTGTGTGTGTGTGTGTATCTTTTTTCTTTCTTTTTCTTTGTGAGACACAGCCTTGCTCTGTCGCCCAGGCTAGAGTGCAGTGGCACGATCTCGGCTTACTGCAACCTCCACCTCCTGAGTTCAATTGATTCTCCTACCTTAGCCTCCCGAGTAGCTGGGACTACAGACGTCTGCCACAAAGCTTGGCTAATTTTGTTGTTGTTATTGTATTTTTAGTAGAGACAGGGTTTCACCATTTTGGCCAGGGGCTCAAACTCCTGACCTCCAGTGATCCTCCTGCCTCGGCCTCCTGAAATGTCATGGTTACAGGCATGAGCCATCACACTTGGCCATATTTATTATGTTATAAGAACATTTTATCTTAAATTAATCATGCTGCCATTAAGAAAATGGAATTATTTAAAGTTTTATTGTCTCAGAAAAGTTAAAATTTTATATCTATTTTTAGTAGATTTTTACCAAGCACTCTCATTAACTTATGATATCTTATTTTGTTACTAGGTTTGCAATTATGGCAGTTAATACTTTTTGCCAACATTTATCTGCACAATCATTTTGAGACTGGAAATAAAACCTTTTGATGACAATGGTAATTCTTGTGCTAGTTGTGGTAATTACCTAAGTCTTTCTATTATCTTAATTCTCAAACTTGTTATCTGTGCCTACAATTCCTCTCCTATATAATAGAGAAAATTAAAATTATCCTTATGTAGCATGCAGGGATATTATAAAAGCTAATGATGTAAGTAAAATCTATAAAGTTTGCTGAGTACCCTGAAGAAAACTGTTCTGTAAACAATAGTTATGGGTTTTACTCTGTAGGTTGAGGTTAATTACAGTCTTTCACAATTTTTCTAAGAGTTGATGCTTCATACTCCTTAAAAAGCCTATTTTACGACTTAAACTTAGTTTTCCATACATGTTTTATGTATGTATACAGAGAAAAATATGACAACATTAATCTATTTCTTGATCAGTGCCACTGGCTCTACATTTTTTTCTGGACCTAGTTCAGTTTTTGTTTTGTTTTGTTTTGTTTTAAGTCTTCCACTTACCCTCTTTGGCTTATCTCTTGAATCAAATGTCTCCTCTTCATTTGTCTTTGTCTCCTCGTGGCCCTCCATATGACAGTGATACTGCTAATATGAGTACTTTCTCATATACTGCCTCTACCATCTGGAATTGCTTTATTTACATCTCATTCATATGCCCTTATTTTTTTAAAAAAGATTTCCTCTCTTGTCTTTTGTTTTTTCAAGCTGAGAACTTATTTTCCTATCCCCTTTCTAAGACAATCACGACTGTTTTTTTTTTCCAGTAGATTTTGTAGAACAGGTGTGTAATAACATACTTGAACTTTTTTATTTTTAATTATTCTAAATTAAATAGGTCTTAAAATATCCTTTTTCAAGCAGAAGATTTGCTATAACAAGCCTTTCCTGGATGCTAGTATGTTTTTCTGGCTTATAAGAGAGCCAAGATATCCTCTGAGGACAAGAGTTGTTTAGAAGAATTCATTTAAAATAGTTTGACCAGGGAAATATAGCAGAATAAACAGCCTGCATCCTAAGGACAGTGGAACAAGGGGAGCATTGCTGTCAGTAATGCAAATAACAAAGTAAATGGTTAACAGAAGAACGAAGTTGTGTTCTAGATAATCATATACTGCCTCTACGGTCTGGATGCATGAATTCTAGAGAAACAATTTAATGGACTATAAATAAATTAAGAAGTTTAAGACTTTATGGATTACTTTTAGTTGAACAGAGTGCTTTATTTAAGTCACTGAATGATTATATGGATGAATTTTAGATTGCGTATAGATATCAAAAAGCCAAAGAATATGATCATGCTTAGTTACAAACTAATGCATATTCAATTAACTCATTAAACTACCTTCAATAAATAAGTAAATATAAAATGAAGGCTACTTACATTGTTTGAATACACAATATAATAAGATTCTGATGCTGATTATTTGATTTTGTGTTTAGTGGTTTCATACTGCTTTGGCTTGGAGGATGTAAGTATTTAACAGATCCTGTGTGTTTCAGGAGGCATTTAAATCTTTTAATTTTGCTGTGAGGAAAGTTATTCCTAAGGGATCAGTCACAGATAGCTATATTACCCCCATCAAATGCATCATTTTCCTAGATTCCAAACCCTATGTAGAAATCTCCAAGTTGAAGAAGTAACAATGACCATGCTATCAATGTTTAATCCTTTGGAAACCATAGTAATGGTATAGGAATGCACCTTTTTAACTAGAAGTACTCATGGGCCTGGAAAAGTGAAGATGACCTCATTGGGGAATGGATATATGGCCCTAAATTGGAAAGTCATTGGCTGGCTTCTGTATAGGCTATTTATAGCCCATTTATTCATCTGCAGCTTTTAAGATTCTAAACATTTCTCTATAATCTATTTTCCCTATAGTTAGAGGTTAATTATACTCTGTTTATCTATATGTTTAAGATCAATTACCTAACTGCTAAAATGAAAGCATTTTCATATAGCTAGAGCTCTCACACAGAAAACTAGTTTACGTGTAAGGTAACCAGTTTAATAAAACTGATAATCTCTTTAGCTCTTAGAAATTGGATTTTAATTATTTATCTAATAGACAAGACTTCTTAAGCTATATTTTCTACTCAAATATACTAATGGAAATGTAAGTAATTTAAAATTTTTCTCCAACTGTTTTGTGGATGTTTTGTAAATTGTAATCTCATTGTAACTATGTCTGGTGTTCTACAATCTAGACTATAAAGGTGTGAAGCAAAAAAAAAATGATTTCTTTCTGAAATAATGTTTTACATTACTATTTTACACCACAAAATAGTGACTGGCCTTATTTTAGGTATTGATTAATGTAAAAAATGGCATTTTACCCAATAACCTTCCTGTTATTACCAGGCAACTATGGAATTTAGTGACACAATTATTTTTGTTTCTTTTTTTCATCTTAAGGAACAAGTTCTTAATTAGATTAGATACAGCTATAAGTAAACATAAACTATGTTCTTATGTAACCTCAAGAGTTATTTTAGGCCGGGCGCGGTGGCTCATGCCTGTAATCACAGCACTTTCGGAGGCCGTGGCGGGCGGATCACGAGGTCAGGAGATTGAGACCATCCTGGCTAACATGGTGAAACCAAGTCTCTACTAAAAATACAAAAAAATTAGCCGGGCGTGGTCGCGGGCTCCTGTAGTCCCAGCTACTCCGGAGGCTGAGGCAGGAGAACAGCGTGAACCCGGGAGGCGGAGCTTGAAGTGAGCCCAGATCGCGCCACTGCACTCCAGCCTGGGCGACAGAGTAAGACTCCATCTCAAAAAAAAAAAAAAGAAAAAAGTTATTTTAAAGTGTCTCCATGCCTTGTTACACAGTTCATTGACAATTGTTTAATCTGTTGCTGCTGTTAAGTTTCCTTAAATTTGTGATTATTTCAATGAGTTAGTGATAGTTTATTCACCCATATTTGTGGTGCATTGCCACAAGGAATTATTGACACTTCTTTTTACTGACAACAGCTTTTTTGTTTTGTGTTTACAGTGTGATGTTGAGAGTTTTGTTGTTTCCTCACAAATAACTGACTGCATAACTCTATGCTTTCCTACATGGTTAGCAATTGCTATTTCATGAATAATTGGATTTGCTTTCCTAGTTGCAGTTATCAGTCGGTGCTTCTTAAAAAGATAGCTGTTTATTTTGATGACTGCTTAGGCAATATTTATTATTAAGTATTGCTTTCTCAAATGATTTTTCACAGAGGCAGTGGACAAATGGTTTGACCTGTACAGTGTACAGTGTACAAAGATTCATTTTGTAGCTTAAAGAATGAATTATCTTTGTGTCCTTTGTGTGTGTGTGTGTGTGTGTATTATAGAGACAGGGTCTCACAGTGTTGCCCAGGCTGGAGTGTAGTGGCTTTGCACAGGCACAATCATGGCATGCTACAGCCTTGAACTCCTGGGCTCAATCAATTCCCCTGCCTCAGCCTCCTTAGAAGCTGAGACTACAGGCTAGCACTACCAGGCCCAACGTTTTTTGTACATTTTTTAATATGTATTTTATCCTCTTATGAATTTTTGTTATCTATTTGCCCTGTATAATATTAGGATGGGTATATCATTTATCCTCCAAATTAAGATTAAACAGGGACATTAAATTAAATTAAACAGGGACAACCAGAATATATAGTCACAATATTTAAAACCCCAAATTTCTACAGTAATTCCTTCTTTTCCATTTTACATCCTTCTTCTGAAGGTCTCGTCTACCTTGAGCCAGAGAGCTGCCATCTTCTGCAAAACATCATTGGGGTCAACTATTACTTGCACAAACTTGAACTTCACTCTGTTTTAATTTAGCAGAGCGACTCTCAGGCTGACTTGGTTCTGTTGGCAAAAGACTAGCTTCTGAAGAATTGTCTAACAGCAGAAACGCTGTCATCAAGCTTACATAGGGTGAATTTTTTTCTGAGCTGGCATTGTTCATCTAATGTAGTGTTTTCTAAAGCTAAATTTTACACACACAAAAAAAACAGACATGGAAAACAGGCATAATTGCATTTAGAATTATGTTACTTTTGGACATAAGATTTCTATTTCCTTTGATATTATTCAAATAGGTGAAGACTATGTCGTTTGCTTCTATGCACTGATCCACAAAATGTAGGAGGTATTAAATGTCTTGCCAAGTTACTAAACAAGTAAAGTTTTCAGAAGCTCAATGTGTGACCGAGTTTCTCCTTTTCTACACATATTTCCCTAAATAGCCATTTGTCTACAGGCCATGTGAGTATAGCCTGAAGACAGGATGAGATACAGAGCCACTTAAGCAGCTTTCCAAAATGAGGTTTTAGATTGTGGAGCCAAAGCTCTGAGTGGTTTTTGTAAGAGAGGAATTTTTTTTTTGTTTTTTTTTTTTCTTGAGACAGAGTCTCGCTGTTGCCCAGGCTGAAGTGCAATGATGCGATCTCGGCTCACTGCAGACTCCGCCCCATGGGGGTTCACTCTATTCTCCTGCCCCAGCCTCCCGAGTAGCTGGGACTACAGGCACATTCTTTATGACTGTATCTCCATGGACATATTCTTCATAAATATTTAGAACAGCTTATACTGTCTTCTATTATACTGGCTTGAAGATAATTGATACCATTGATGCAGGATCAAGTGTTGTCTGTCTTTGTTCATCTACATTACAAAACATGGTGTCACCAATAATCTAATTATTTTTGTTATACTTTCCTGTGTTACTGGTTTGAAGATAATCGATACCATTGATTTGGGATCAAATTTGTATTTTGCTGTTTGTCTCCATTCATCAACAATACAAAATGTGCTGTCACCCATAATAGTTTATTTTTGCATCATATGTTTTGGATTTCTACATTCATTTGCCTGAATTTTTCACTCAGGGTTTTGGATATTATATATTTCATATGCAGCATGTATCATTTGATGGTGACTTAAATGCCTGTATCCTATTATAACAGAACTAATCACTTTTCTAAAGATAAGTATAAGTTTGGTCCACAAAAAAATTTCTACGTACATTGACTCATTGAACCTGCTACGATGAAGACTTCTACTTTACAATTCAACTATGCATATCAGGATTACTGATTTCTTTATATGACATTACTTATGAAAAGAAGTAATTTTATGAATTACTAAACACTTTCCAAGTATGTTTATTTTGAAACTTGCCTTTAATTAATAGAGATAGCTTGAATATTTAGCATAGTCCCTAATAAAAATAATTGAATTAAATTTAAGTATCTAGTCAATAGAATTAATAGCAATTGCTATAAACCTAAATAATTATGGTGATAATAAAAATCAAGTTAAATACAAGATGTGGTATAGAGTTCAGTTAGCTTAATAATCTAATGTTTTACTAGTCCACATTCAATTTTAGAGTAATGATGTTGAAAATGCAAATTACTTATTATTAGGTTCCTTAACTTTACTATTTACTTACTTTTTAGTTTTTTTAAAGTTTTATTTTAGGTTTAGGAGTACATGTGCAGGTTTGTTATATAGGTAAACTCCTGTCTTGGGGGTTTATTGTACAGATTAATTCATCACCCAGGTACTAAGACAGGTAAGTACCCAATAGTTATTTTTTTCTGCTCTTCTCTCTCCTCTCACCCTCCACCCTAAAGTAGGCCCAATATCTGTTGTTCCCTTCTTTGTGTCCATGAGTTATCTTTATATTAATTATTTTTATTTCACTACTTGGCAGTTTGCCAAATCAGAAACTTGATTTTGATAAGAGAAAAATGTCTATTTCAGAAGTTAAAAATCCGTATTTACCAAATGTTTACCAGTCTACTATCATTGATAGGGTTCACTATATTTCAATATATATATCCCAGTGTTGTCAAATTTTTGAGGTATTGTGATTTTATTAGTGTTTGATAATGAAAACATAACTTCAAAGTCTATTACCTGAGCATTGCTTTAATATCCAGGATTCTTTGTACATGCCATTATGTTCCTGAAAGTACATTTAGCATAATATGTATAGCTAATTTATTTGAAAACATAGCCAATTCTTCATTATTCAGAAGTTAATAATCAAATTTCATGAATCATATCCCTCCCCACTACATCCTACTACATTTCATTTTCCTTCAAAATACTTTAAAAATACTTCCTAGAAATTATCTACTTTAGCAAATGCATTTCAAGATTCTCAGAAAATATTTTTTAATAGTCCAGAATTATTCATAGGATTAGATAAGCTCAAATCTCCATTAGATGTTCTTTTCTGTTATTAGTAAACTCCCCTCTTTAGTTTAGTTCAGTGTTGTAGCACCCTTATTCTTGGTTTCTATTACATTTAGAGTATCTTACAAGGAGCAGCATCTGTTACTCTTCTAAGAGATTAAGTCAAACCAAATAGGTGTGTCTATTTAGAATAATAGGGATTTTTAAGAGAATTATAATTGGATCTTGTAGGTGTCACAAACCTCAGTGTAATAGGCATCATTGATAAGAGATTCCTCTTTTAACTGTTTATTTTGGCATTGCTACATTCGTTTTGAAGATTTTCTTGGTAGCCTTGCATACATTTTAAACCATTTTTCTTACAATTAGATGCTGTGATAACATATAGAGGCTGTGGATACCTACAATTTTAACTTCTGCTTTGATTCCCAGAAGGAAAGTATAAATATTATACTGGCTCTGATATATTAGAACTTTACATTAATTTTTAGACAAGATAAAAAGTATTTTTAAAATATTTTCTACCATATTGCTCAATTATCATCCTTTTATCATAGCAACTTATCAATGTTACAAAACGTTTTTGTGGGCATTATAGTTTGGAACTCAATTTTGAGAACATTGTCTTAAAAATCTTATCAAGATATGACTTTCCAAATACAACATTTGTATTACAATTAGATGTATACCTTGTTCTTTTTTCACTTTTAAATTAAAACATGTGGCTGCTCACGGATTGAAAACAGGTTTACCTATATATGTCCTTACCAATTGGTAAGCATTATTCAAAGTAGATCATAAAAAGGAGACAAAAGCCTTGATATTCCCAATTAAAAAGATTTAAACTAAAAACTCCTTCTGCTAACTGTATACTGTTGAAGCATTTATTGTATAACCCTTAACTGTCAAGAACTGCCACATCTTTTGATATTTGTGACAGCTATTTTAGGAGAATAAGGGAGATGCAATGTTATAATAGGTAAGGGATGAAGATCAGCTTCCTGGTAGATTACAAAGTAGTGATAATTCTGCTTTCATCCTATTGTGTTTTTTTTCTGCACTATAGATTGAATTACATATTATTGCTCAATGTGATGCTGATTAATTAAGATGTAGGGAGCTGTGGAAAATTATCCATATTTTGTCATAAACATGTTTACTGACTGTACATCAGAAAATCACTAAATAATGCATGAAATTATAAAAATTACATTAAAATATTAAAATTACCTGTAAAACCTAGGTATTTAAACCACTGTAGTTTTTCATATGATATTGTCAGATCAAATACACTTGCCACTTTCATTTAAGAAATAATTACCAATATTAGATGTAACTTAAACATAAAATAAAAAGAGTTGGACATTTATTCATATCAAATAAATAGACTAATGTCTTCTATGGATACGTACTCTTTTCCATATTTTTAGTTGTTCTTCTTCCATTTTTAATTTTTATGAGTACATAGTAGGTGTACGTATTTGTGGGGTACATGAGATATTTTGATGCAGTCATACAATGTGTAATAATCACATCAGGGTAAATGGGGTGTCCTCAGTTCTTTGTCACCTGTGGTTTTAGCTCTGATTAAGAACTTGTCTTGGAACCTAAGTCAAAGTTTGATTTTAAATTTTTCGTTGAAATTGACAGGTCGGCTGAGGAAATGAAGATTTCTCCAGTTCTGTAGTCAGGTGGTCTGATCGTTAGACTAATTGGATTTACATAAACCCAAGTATTATATTTTACATATGCATTGATTTTTATCACCTCTATTTTCAAGCTGTTGTATAAATGTTGCAGCTTTCAGGCCCTACTTCCATTGGTAACAAATAGAAACTGGTTTGCTGCTATTCTGTCCTGGCATACAAATAATCTAAGTCAAAAGCTTTGCTTTTCATGTTTTTCTAGGATAGTGAGAGGAAAAAAAAAATTTCTCCTACTCAAAGCATTTATTTCATTTCTATTTTCATAAAATTAGGAATTCTTTTTTTTTTTTTTTCTTTTTTGAGACGGAGTTTCACTCTTGTTGCCCAGGCTGGAGTGCAATGGCACGATCTCGGCTCACTACAACCTCCGCCTCCCGGGTTCAAGCAATTCTCCTGCCTTAGCCTCCTGAGTAGCTGGGCTTACAGGCGCCCACCACCGCACTCAGCTAATTTCTTGTATTTTTAGTAGAGACGGGGTTTCACCATGTTGGCCAGGCTGGTCTAGAACTTCTGACCTCAGGTGATCCTCCCGCCTCGGCCTCCCAAAGTGCTGGGATTACAGGCATGAGCTACCATGCCCAGCCCAAAATTAGGTATTATTTGTTAATGACTTACGGGTTTTTAATTAGCCACAAGATACGAAAGTCTAAACAAAAGTATGTTTTGTTATAGTCAGTTTAATGCCCTAAAAAAATGATGTTTGCACAAATGATTCTAATGCACAAATGTTATTAGTTTCTATACATTTATATTTTCTCAGAGTCTTTTCTGATTATTTGCTGGACCCTACATTTATAATTCCATTTATGCCGATTTCAGAGTAAAATTTCTATTGGGGTACAATTTAGTCTTTTTCTTCTAGGATTGCAATTTTCATTGTGTTGGCCTAGGGCTTCTCAACCTTGGCATTATTGACATTTGAAGCTAGATAATTCTTCCTTGTGGGGTGGTGTGAGAGCTGTCTTATGCACTGCAGGAAGTTTGGCAGCATCTCTGGCCTCTACCAAATAGATCTTAGTGGCACTCTCTTGCCCAATTGTGACAAGCAAAAATGTCTCCAGAGTTTGACAAATGTTTTCTCGGGTTGCGGTGGGGGCCCCAGGAATTTCAACAATAGAAAACCATTGCTTTAGCTCACCCTTACACATATTCATAAGAGAGGATTTTGTATTTTATAGAAAGATTTTATTAACTCCAAAAAGGAGTCAGACTTGAAAACCTTCAAAAACCTTCAAATGATGAGCATTCTCAGATAAAATATTTCAGAAATGTTGAAACAATAAATGCTATTTGAATAACACATACTTTAGTGGTCATAGGTGAAATAGTATTAGGACATATATCAAGTCCTTTGATAAAAAGATATTTTATGAAGTAATAGTGCCTTTTAACAAATTCATAATATGTTATAATTTATCGTAAATGTAGAAGTTACTTTCTTATCTGTGTGACTGAAGGGGAACACAGTGCTAAATGATAAAACAGAGTAGCCTGAGGTGGTTTTCTTCTAATTTCAGGTCAGATTTACATTTCACTAATTGCACAAAAGTTTTTCAATATTAATTTTGTTTTATATATACAGAAAACATATTTATTATTAGCACTAGCAAAATCTTATGTAATGAACCCACTTCATAAATAGAATATTTATGTTAATCAAATATGAATGTTTTGCCAACCTAATTTCAAATCTTAACATAAAAAATTGGAATGAGAAAATTGATACATATGAGTATATTGGTATATGTATTATAAATGATTCAACCTCAGCTAGTAAAGGAAGTTTTATTATTTTCAATAGTAAAATCATTATTTTTCTAATTTGATTTCATAGTTATGTAAGAATTATTAGCAATTTTAAAATAATAAACTTTGAGCGAAACTATTTCCTGATTGTTAATGGATAAGAAAAAGATAAAAATTGACATCTAGAATTAGGCAAAGGAAAAACTAATGGAAGATTCAATATATGAATGAGACACAAAAGTTGATAGTGGTGTGTGATAGAACTAATTACAAGCGTTTTTTAAGCGAATATTTTTAGTTATAGATTTATTTATGAAAAATTGTTCTTAGCTCTTGAATTTTATAGTGTTTTTAAATTTTTAATGTATTTACTTTTTTCTTTTTTCTTTTTTCTTTTTAATTTTTGTTAGTACATCATAGGTGTATATATTCATGGGGTACATGAAATACTTTGATACAGACATGCAATTGTCATGATCACATCGTGGTAAATGGGACATCCATTCCCTCAAGCATTTATCCTTTGTGTTACACACAATCCAATGATACTTTTAGTTATTTTAAAATATATGATTAAATTATTATTGACTGTAGCCACCCTGTTGTGTTAGCAAACGCTAGGTCTTATTCATTCTTTCTTTTTTGGTACCCATTAATCATCCCTACCTCCCCTGCCTACCAACAACCCTTGCTAGCCTCTGGTAACCACCTTCTACTCTCTGTCTTCATGAGTTCAATTGCTGAAATTTTTAGCTCCCACAAATATGTGAGAACGTGTGAAGTTTCTCTTTCTGTGCCTGGCCTACTTCAATTAACATAATGATCCATCCATCCATGTTGTTGCAAATGACAGGCTCTCATTCTCTTTTCTGAATAGTACTCCATTTTGTATATGTACCAGATTTCCTTTACCCATTCATCTGTTGATGAACACTTCAGTTGCTTCCAAATCTTGGCTACTGTGAATAGTGCTGCAAAAAAGCCTGGGAGTGCAGATATCACTTTGATATACTTATCTCCTTTCTTTTGTGCGTATACCCAGCAATGGGATTGCTGGATTGTAATGGTAGCTCAATTCTTAGTTTTTTGAGGAACCTCCAAACTGTTCTCCAAGTGATTGTACTAATTTACATTCCCACAAACACTGTACAAGGATTCCCTTTTCTCCACATCGTTGCCAACATTTGTTACCACCCGTCTTTTAGATAAAAGCCAGGGGGTGAGATAATATCTTATTGTAGTTTTGATTTGCATTTCTCTGATGATTAATTATGTCAAACATCTTTTCATATGCCTGTTTGCCATTTGTATATCTTATTTCGAGAAATGCCTATTCAAATCTTTTGCCCATTTTTTATTACAATATTAGATTTCTTTTTCTCTAGAGTGATTTGAGCTCTCCATATATTCAGATTATTAATCCTTTGTCAGATGGGTAGTTTGCAATATTTTCTCCCATTCTGTGGGTTGTCTCTTCACTTTGTTTTTGATTGTGTCCTTTGCTGTGCAGAAGCTTTGTAACTTGATGTGATCCCATTTGCCCATTTTTGCTTTGGTTGCCTGTGCTTGTGAGGTATTGCTCAAGAAATCTTTGCCCAGACCAACATCCTGGAGATTGTTTCCAATGTTTTCTTGTATGGTATAATAGCTTGAGATCTTAAATTTAAGTATTTACTCCAATTTGATTTGATTTTTCTATATGGTGAGAGATAGGGGTTTAATTTCATTCATCTGCATGTGGATATCAGGTTTTTCCAGCACCATTTATTGAAGAGATTGTATTTTCCCCAATGTATGTTTTTGGCAACCTTGTCAAACATTATTTCACTGTAGTAGTGAGGATTTGTTTCTGGGTTATCTGTTCTGTTCCATTGGTATATGTGTCTGTTCTTAAGCCAATACCATGCTATTTGGTTACTATAGCTCTGTAGTATAATTTGAAGTCAGGTAATGTGATTCCTTCAGTTTTGTTCTTTTTGCTCAGGATAGCTTTGTCTATACTGGGTTTTTTGTGTGGTTCTATACAAATCTGAGGATTTTTTTTCTATTTCTGTGAAGAATATCATTGGAATTTTTATTGGGATTGCATTGAACCTGTAGATTGCTTTAGGTAGTATGGACATTTTAACAATTTTGATTCTTCTAATCTATGAACATGGAATATTTTTTCCCTTTTTTGGTGCCCTCTTCAATTGCTTTCATCAGTGTTTCATAGTTTTCGTGATTGAGATTTTTTACTTCTTTGGATAAGTTAATTCCTAGGTATTTAATTTTTTGTGTGGCTATTATAAATGGAAATAATTTTTAAATTCTTTGTCACATTGGTCGCTGTTGGCATATAGAAGTGGTATTGATTTTTGTATGTTGATTTTGGATCCTGCATCTTTACTGAAATTGTTTATCATTTCTAATAGTTTTCTTGTGGAGTCTTTAGTTTTTTCCAAATATAAGACCATATTATCTGTAAACAATGATAATTTGAATTCTTCCTTTCCAATTTGGATAACCTTTATATCTTTCTCTTATCTGATGGCTCTAGCTAGGACTACCAGTACTATGTTGAATAATAGTGGTGACAGGGGGCATCCTTGTCATGTTCCAGATCTTAGAGGGAAGAATTTCCATTTTTCCACATTTAGTATGATACTAGCTGTGGATCTTTCATATGTGACTTTAATTGTGTTTAGATATGTTCCTTCTATCCCCAGTTTTTTGAGAGTTTTTGTCATGAAGGGATGTTGAATTTTATAAAATGCTTTTTCAGCATCAATTGAAATGATCATATGGTTTTTATCCTTCATTCTATTGATGATATCTCACATTGATTTGCATATGTTGAACCATCCTTGTTTACCAGGGGTACATCCCACTTGGTTATGATGAATGATCTTTCTAATGTATTGTTGAATTTGGTTTGCTAGTATTTTTGTTGAGGATTTTTGCATTAATAGTCATCAGAGATATTTGCTTGTAGTTTTCTCTTTTTATTATCATTTTTAAGTTCC